>NC_000011.10:42484242-42787272 GCF_000001405.40 Homo sapiens
GACATAAATGTAAGACCTAAAACCATAAAAACACTAGAAGAAAACCTAGGCAATACCATTCAGGACATATGCATGGGCAAAGACTTTATGACTAAAACACTAAAAGCAATGGCAACAAAGGCCATAATTGACAAATGGGATCTAATTAAACTAAAGAGCTTCTAAACAGCAAAAGAAACTGTCATCAGAGTGAATAGGCAACCTACAGAATGGGAGAACATTTTTGCAATCTATCCATGTGACAAAGGGCTAATATCCAGAATCTACAAAGATCATAAACAAATTTACAGGAAAAAAAAAAAAAACCCATCAAAAAGTGGGCAAAGGATATGAACAGACACTTCTCAAAAGAAGACATTTATGGGGCCAACAAACATATGAAAAAAAAACCTCATCATCGCTGGTCATTATAGAAATGCAAATCAAAACCACAATGAGATAACATCTCACGCCAGTTAGAACGGCAATCATTAAAAAGTCAGGAAACAACAAGTGCTGGAGAAGATGTGTAGAAATAGGAACACTTTTACACTGTTGCTGGGAGTGTAAATTAGTTCAACCATTGTGGAAGACAGTGTGGCAATTCCACAAGGATCTAGAAACAAAAATAACATTTGACCCAGCAATCCCATTACTGGGTATATACCCAAAGGATTATAAATCATTCTACTATAAAGACACATGAACATGTATGTTTATTGCAGCACTGTTCACAATAGCAAAGATGTGGAACCAACCCAGATGCCCATCAATGATAGACTGGATAAAGAAAATGTGGTGCATATACACAATGGAATACTATGCAGCCATAAAAAAGGATGCATCATGTCCTTTGCAGAGACATGGATGAAGCTGGGAACCATCATTCTCAGGAAACTAACACAGGAATAGAAAACCAAACACCACATGTTCTCACTTATAAAGAAAAATGAGAACACATGGACACAGGGAGAGGAACATCACACAGCGGGGCCTGTCGGGGGTGGGGAGCTAGGGGAGGGATAGCATTAGGAGAAATACCTAATGTAGGTGACGGGTTGATGGGTGCAGCAAAACACCATGGCACGTGTATACCTATGTAACAAAACTGCACGTTCTGCACATGTATCCCAGAACTTAAAGTATAATAAAAAAAAGAAAAAACGAGTTTTGTTCCCCCCCAAAAAGAGTAATCCCTTGAATAATAAGAATATCACCAGAGATAATTCAATTTTCTATTTATTTTCAAATGGCTATATTTTCTATACTCCACTTGCCATAAAAACAATGACTCAAATATTTATTAATGTAATTTTAATGGCTGGAGAGCTCTTATAAATCCCCCCTATTTTTTTTTTTTTTTAGATGAAGTCTTGCTCTGTCACCCAGGCTGGAGGGTAATGGCATGATCTCCGTTTACTGCAACCACCGCCTCCCGGATTGAAGCCATTCTCCTGCCTCTGCCTCCCCAGTAGCTGGGATTACAGGTGCCCACCATCATGCCTGGCTAATTTTTGTATTTTTAGTAGAGATGGGGTTTTACCATGTTGGCCAGGCTGGTCTCAAACTCCTGACCTCAGGTTATTCGCCTGCCTCAGCCTCCCAAAGTGCTGGGATTACAGACATGAGTCACCACCCCTGGCCACAATCCCCTCATTTTAAATAAACTTAAAAAAGAACTTACGTATACAAGCATTTCCCAAGACCAAAACACTGCATAGAGGAAGCAGTAGATACCCTAGATTATGATGGTCTATCTCGGCTTGCTTTTCTTCTATGAAATTATGTGTTCAAACTGAAATAATGTAACAGAATAGCTGCACATGTAATCCCACATATATACATATGCCTGTGTGCACAGGACAGTTTAAAATTACTTGGAACTTTTTCTGGGGTGATTTTTATGCCTTGTTTTTGCCCACCCACATAGCTAAACCTCTTTAGTCCCTGTAGTGTCATTTCTCTCTTATTCCTGTAGGCTGCAACATTCCCAATTTAGTATCATCTGAGAGCATAATTGAAGTGCCATTTATCCTTTTTTATGTACCATGAACTGATAAAAGTGAAAAAGTTGAAGTCTTAAATACAGTTGCGTTTATCTTCAAGTTTTTTCCTCAGGTATGACAAAAAATATGCTTATAGTGCCCCACATAGTTCTGATATTCTTTTGTAAAAGATGATAATATAAATCCAAAGTAAGGCAGTATCCTACAGAAACTTTAATTTGGCAGACATGAGAGAAGAAATGTTCAAGATGCAAACTAGAAGCCTGCACAATCAAATTTGCTTATGAAATCCAGGTAATATGTGGAAATGAAGGAAAACAGACATCAACCCCATCTCTCTTTGAATTCAAGTTCTTGAAACCTATAGGAGGTGCAGGAGGGAGGGTATAGGAATGTACCTGGTCAAAATTCTAATGTAGGAGAAGAAATAATGTTTCTAAGATTAAAATCCCATTAATATTACATAAAAGAAAAGCTGTGGCTTAGTTTCTGCATTGAGTTTGCGTTTTTACTACCCCCCACCCACCGCCATGCTTTGATTTGGCCTTTCAGATATTTCAACCTCTCTTCCTTTCCCTGAACTAACTCAGTGTTCGGCTGTGATCATTCTATTTTCCAAACCTCTTTGCTACTTTAAAAAATTAGGAAGTCAGGTAGAAAAACTCTGAGTACAACTTCTCATAACTCATCTTTAATGAAATTAAAATGTAATGATCTTTGGCAGTTACAGCACTGATGGTCACTCCCATAATGAGCAAGGATTTTTCACAGGAGACAAATCTAAATCAGGTCACCCTCACAGTAAAAACTTACCTATTCCAATGGAATTTAAATGGTTAACATAGAATAGTCATAGAGGCACTCCCAAGATGGGTAAAAATATCAGCAGATAAAGCTAAAACAATAAAATCACTCTAGGTTGCATGGTAATTCCTGAGATTAATTTATATTTCAGGGAAGATGACAGTAATAACAGAAGAATTCCTGAGAGCGAAAATTACCTCTTACTCTTTTTTTGAGATTAAGACTATAGTGAATATAAGACACTCAGATGACAACTGTCTACCATTGTATGGAGGCCCATAGATATGCATTCATTCTTTGGACAGTTTGAAATTTCAAAGGAGAATGAATTAAAGTAAGATTTCCATCCAGGAGTTTTAAAAAGAGAGAGGATAATGGTAGTAGTCCTATGCTAGATGATACGGTTTGACTGTGTCCCCACCCAAATCTCAACTTGAATTGTATCTCCCATAATCCCCACATGTTGTGGGAGGGACCCAGGGGGATATAATTGAATCATGGGGGCTGGTCTTTCCCGTGCACTTCTCGTGATAGTGAATCAGTGTCATGTGATCTGATGGGTTTATCAGGGGTTTCCACTTTTGCTTCTTCCTCATTTTTCTCTTGCTGCCACCGTGTAAGAAGTGCCTTTCACCTCCAGCCATGATTATGAGGTCTCCTCAGCCATGTGGAACTGTAAGTCCAATTAAACCTCTTTTTGTTCCCAGTTTCAGGTATGTCTTTATCAGCAGTGTGAAAACAGACTAATACACCAGGCAATGTTCTCCTTGAAATGCAACTCAAGTTTGAATGTCATTTAGGCAGTCAATGGTCCTTTAAATGACAAGATTTCAAAGATAATTATAAAGCTCACTTGTCACCTGGCAATCAACCATTAGCTACATTTTTAAATACATTTTAAATACAGGTAAAAGGATGAAGAGATGATCCTAAGGAGATAACTATAATAGTCCCCACTTATCCACAGTGAATGTGCTCCAAGACCCCCAGCAGATGCCTAAAACCATGGGTAGTATTGAACCCTACATATACTATGTTTCTTCCTATACATACATACTTATGTTAAAGTTTAATTTATAAATTATTCACAGAAAGATATTAACAATAATAGCTAATAATAAAATAGAACAATTGTAATATACTGTAATAAAAGTTTTGTGAATGTGGTCTCTCTCTTTCTCTCTGTATCAAAATATCTTATTATATTCTACTCACCTATTTTTGAAATGTGGCTGACCACCAATACTGAAACCACAGAAAGTAAAATCAAAGGGGTACTACTGTAAAAAAATGTTTAAAAGTGGAACAACTAAGATGTTCACAAATTTCACAAGATACCGTCTAAAAATAAGAAGACTTTTCATGAGAATAAGATATCACCCACTTCATTCTCTAAGGGTTTCAGTTGAGATGCAAAGATACATGTTTAATTCCTGAACTCATAATAGGTTTTTTGGTACTTCTATAATGGGTAAGCATATGCAAGGCAACTAATTCAGGAAGCCAATTCCCCAGTCCCATTTAGGAAGGCTATCATATTCTCTAGTCTCTTTGGTGCCATATCAAGATGCATGAAGGTGTCAAGTGGCTTGTGATCATTCCTAAAATGAGTCAACTATTTGAGAAGTGATGATCTAAGTCACAAAGTCCTACTTCTAACCACTTTTATTTAAATGGAATCCCCAACAATGGGTAAGGACCTTGGAGGTAACCATCTAAAACATAAGACCTATTGAGAAGATTACTTTGACCTACTCCTTTACTCAAATTTCTAATAGTGAGCTTTGTTAATGACTGTTGCTACTTGGTACTTCTGGGAAGCTCCAAGTTGTCAGAGGAAATCAAGAAGAGAAGGGAGAATGGTTCTATCTTAAGTTCTAATTCACTTTATCTTTTGTGAGTTTCAAGTGGGTGAATTTCAGCATGTCAACATGCTGTTGGGTATTATTTAATATTTACAATTATATCAAAGGTGGATTTTAATAGTAGGAAAAATGATAAATAAGTGAGTAAAATCATTAATTGATTTTTCCATAATTTTAAAGAGAATCCTGGTGAAGAGTTTTACATATGTAGTATATGTATGTTTATGTTCACTTATTTACATAATTTTGTTTGGTTTTGGCATTTCACTTATTTCTTAAGTGTCCTACACCACATCCTGGGAAGAGCAAAAGTGTTGAGAACCTCAAAACAATTACTATTTATGTCATTCTAGGATTTATATTAACTGCTAAGTAGTATGACACATTTACTAATAAGTTGTGATTATTGATTTCCTTATTTGATTTTTCGTGGGGTAGCTACCTCTTCTAGATTTAATATCTTTGTCTCTTAATGTAATGTTTATCAATTCTATAATAAGAGTGTGCCCCATTTTATCCTTCTGCTAGGACTTAAATCTTAATCCAAATACTTCGGGTTTCTTACCTAACACAAAAAGAGAAACATTTCATTTGACATATGTATTGAGTTTGGCTTATAACCATTAAATGTCTCACCATTGTGAGCTAAACTAATCATAATACAAATTTCTAGACTGTAGAATGGGTGATTCTTCATTTACTGAACTGAAATATTCTCAGAGGTACAGGGAATAATCTGCACAATTCATATTATGATTAGTATAGGTTTCAGAAATTTTTTACTGATGAAATCTCCCCTATCTTAGAACACAGCAAATTCAAAACCAGTAAGATAATTTTATAGTTTGTTCATGGTACTTATATAGGTCTGTGTTCAAAGGAATTTCCATGTTTGAAGCCCAACACAGCACTTGTTAAAGGTAAGTAAAAGTCTCCTGAAGTAGAGCCTGAAAATAATAAACTGGAGGAAACAAACATTTTTGTAAGAAGAGGGCTGTATATTTGGTTTCAAACTTCAAAGAAGAAAAATAAAAAAGAATGAAACACGGCTAATTACAAAATTCATAAATTGAAAATAAATATGTATTTTCAGATAAAGCACTTGCTTTACTTACTTGTTCTTTCTTATTAGCTTTCCTGTTTTTTTCTGAATCAGATTTTTCCCTTAGAGTCTCATATGGATATGAATCATGGCCTATATTTTCAGTAACATTCCTATAACAAAGAAGAGTGGTGTTGCTATTTTCTAGTCTTATCTGCTAATGCAATCAGAGGTAGAATGTTAAACATTATTAATTTTAAAACATTACTCCAATTTCTCATTCCATGGGAAGCATATTCTTGACTCAAACACATTGATAGATTTCAGATTGTACAGCTTGGGTCATTTGATCAACTATGTTCCCTAAAGTTGGAATTTGCAAAACACATGCCGATCGCTGCTGCAACATGTTTCAAACTACAATTCCCTGGCCCTTCAGGAATCCCTTGTCCACCATTTCCATTATAATATCAACAATATGCCACTATTAGAAATAGGTGTGCCCTCAAATGTATTGGGCTAGCAAAAAGTGGGAGTCTCTTAGCTGGGGATACTTGCTTACATGAGTCTGTGAATACGCTATGACTAGAATTTCAACCAAGCAACAAATTGAGAGCTTCTAAAGGAAGCATATCAGACAGATGCTTGTAGAAGTCTTAACTTATTTTTTGAGGCTGGGAATAGAAAAAGAGATGTTTGTTTGAACTTCCAATGCACTCCCTCTGAGAAAAGCATACTTTGGAAGCAAGGTAATACAGGACAGGCGGCTACATGGTTGGGATCCAGCATTTTGTAAAGCTGGACAGCTCATTTTGTCTCACTGGGCAGCTTCATTTAAAAAATAGTATATATTTATCACGATACCTCACAGGGAGATTGGAAAACAGCATGACATGACTATGCTATATTTTCATTTTCTCAGAAAAATTGCATAGTTTAGATGGAGATCTGAAGTCAGTTTGAATTTTTGCAAAGTTGAAGGAGAGACATCGTTTTGAATGGCTTTGAGACATTATTTTGCAGGTGGTAAAAATCATAGGCTCTTTTCTGAGGTGTTCTATAAAGCTTAAGTTTTAAATATAGTCTCCAGAGACGGAAGGAATATGGGAGAAAAAGAAGGGAAGAGGTGCCGAAGAAGAAAGATCAATTAGAATTAAGTTTCTACTCTCGTGTCTTGAACTATGTTAAGTACAGATTGCATCATACTTAACAAATAGTTACAGAATAAGCTCCATTTTGAAAAGGCATGCTGCTACTTGGACACTGACTCTCTTGTTTTCAATATGATGATTTTTTTTATTCCCAAAACACATAAAATAAATATAATACAGAAGATGAGGCCGGGCGTGGTGGCTCACACCTGTAATCCCAGCACTCTGAGAGGTCGAGGCTGGTGTATCACCTGAGGTCAGGAGTTCGAGACCAGCCTGGCCGACATGGCGAAACCCTGTCTCTACTAAAATACAAAAATTAGCCGGGTGTGGTGGTGGGTGCCTGTAATCCCAGCTACTCAGGAGGCTGAGGCAGGAGAATTGCTTGAACCCGGGAGGTGGAGGTTGTAGTGAGCCGAGATTGCGCCACTGCACTCCAGCCTGGGCGACAGAGTGAGGCTCTGCCCCTCCCAACGACCAAAAAAAAAAAAAAGAAGGTCATATTTCAACATGATAGTTTTGGGCAAAGACAAATTCATCAATTTAAAGTTTTCGGTTACAGATTGTCATGAAGAATAAATTGAACTGAGTTACATTTTGAATGGACTTAGATCATTTTGCTTTACATATAGATACCAAGGAAGTTAACCAAATAGCATTGTCTAAGGCTCTTCAGTTTGCCTTGCATGTATGCTGTTTCCACGTGTTTCAGAGTGTTACTGTTATAGCGTTTATTTTAGCATAAAATACTTTTTCTATGCTATCAATTTATTCAGTTTAGCTTGAGGGCAAGATAATCATAAGCCCCCAAACATTGAAAACTTGTTGAAGAAAATGGTTTTTAAATAGAATGCATTTGTTTTGTTTTGTTTGAGATGGAGTTTCGCTCTTGTTGCCTAGACTGCAATGGCACGATCTCTGCTCACCGCAAACTCCGCCTCCCGGGTTCAAGCAATTCTCCTGCCTCAGCCTACTGAGTAGCTGGGATTACAGGCATGCGCCACCATGCATGGCTAATTTTGTATTTTTAGTAGAGACGGGGTTTCCCCATGTTGGTCAGGCTGGTCTTGAACTCCTGACCTCAGGTGATCCACCTGCCTCAGCCTCCCAAAATGTTGGAATTACAGGTGTGAGCCACCACGCCCAGTCAATAGAATGCATTTCTAAAGAAAACTCTTTGCACCCTCATTCACCCTATCCGTCTTCCCTGTACTCCTTCAGTGAGTAAAGAAACCTTTGTTTCATTAAAATTTACATATAAGCTGAATTAATATAATACTTTCAAATAGACGTTTATTACTTATATGAACAGTTTTCATTATGTAACATATTTTTCCTACCTTTAAAAATTGTTTTCATTTGATTAGGATCAAAATCATCATAACTTCCCATTAAAATTAATAGAATTATATTTTTATATCTTTTTTAGTTAGGGGCAGGGTTATCAGAAATGAATTAAGGTAATTAAGAAAATGACCTTTCAGGAGAATTAGTTCATTTAAATGTCACCGCAACCATGTGGGTATGTATTGCCATCATTACCATTATTATTATCCCCATCATTGGTATTATTACCATCACCGTAATTACTTTAATTTTAACCCCAATTCTCACACAAGGAAACTTAAGCATAAAGTAGGTCTGCTCAGTACCTTCTAATTTTCCCCCAAATTTCGAACAGTTGAGATTTCAGACCCCACCATCTACATAAAACTAGTTGTCATTCTTCTCAGGACAGGTAGTTAGAGACACAGGGCATGTTTGTGGTCAGTCCCTTGTTATCCTTGAAAAGTAAAAGACTTTATTAGCGTCTTTCCTAACTCTTGGGAAGAAAATCAGGTGGTAATCATTTTCTTGTTGTTGTTTCCAGTTTGGTGTGAATGTGGTGTTTCACTGATAGACAAATTTACCTATAAGGGAAAACTCAGCCTAGTAGAAATACATCTAGTAAAGAATTCCCAGGATGAACAAAGCACTGTGGTAGGCTTGAGGAAATGGGCCAAGGCATTGGAAAGGGTATATGTGTTTTTTTTCATCAGGGGAGAAAGAATAAATATTTAAATTAAACATTCTAATCATATGATATTATTTAGTATCATAAAAATCACAAAGCTACCTTTTCTTTTAGTTTTATCTGTTATTCATGCTTGTCTTGGGGAATATATTATTCTACTTTTACTCTTTTTACATATATTTTTATACTCCAAGACAAAAATCAACCATTCTTTTTCATATTTTCAGATAATAGCCTTATTTTTTAGGTTTGTCATGTTCAATAAGCCTACTACAAGTGTATAGGATGTACACCATTAATCCTTTCAATGTTTAGACCCTCATTTCCATACCACCGAAATGAGCATTGAGTCACATTCTGTGTAGGCCTATACAGAATGCATTCATCCTTGTTTTCTCATTTGAACTTTGTAACGACATCAATATAACATGCATTATTATTCCCTCTTTTTTAAGAAAAAATAGAAGGTAAGTGATTTACCAAGGCCTCTGAGCCCCTCTGTACTATAGAGGTCCTTTGTTTGTACAAATCATAAATTAGGCTTATTAATCCAAGCTATTGGAAGACACTTAATTTCTATCTTTTGGGAATTTCCATAATATTGATTTTCTTCAGAACAAGACATTCTGTCATTATGCCATAAAAAGAGTTTCCTATAGCAGTACTACCTCTGTAATCAATCTAAACTCTAAACGTCTCCTCCATTGAGTTCACTAAGCTGTTTTGTCAAGTTTAGTCCCTCATTGATTCCCTGGATAGAATATGTAGAGGAAAGGCCAAGCTTCCCTCAATTTCCTTAGAGAGAGTCATGAGGAGGAGTCCCCACCCAGACAGCACATTCAGAGAAAGTCCTCTGGAAGGAAAACCACTTAGCTAGTCAAGAATTTGATGATGAACATTCAAGAAGAAAACATCAGAAGTCCTTCATGAGGTCTATGCTAGTTAATATTTTCATATGTGTAATTCATTTTATCCTCATAGCAACCCTTTGTGATTAACATGATTGGAAGGAGACTGAGTTTAAAATAGGAAATTTTTCAAGATTAGGGTTATGTCATTTGTTTAATCCATTATTTGAATCCAGATATCTCTGATTAAATATAATTTGACTGGATATTATAGAAAAATTATAGCAAAGCCTATAATTTTCCTAAAATTCCACAGAATATGTTTCTTAAGTTCTATATATGTGATATATATGACCTATATTTCCTTTTTTTTTTTTTTTTTTTTTCAAGCTGGAGTTTCACTCTCGTTGCCCAGGCTGGAGTGCAATGGCGCAATCTTGTCTCACCGCAACCTCTGCCTCCCAGGTTCAAGTGATTCTCCTGCCTCAGCCTACCAAGTAGCTGGGATTACAGGCATGCACCACCACGCCGGCTAATTTTGTATTTTTCGTAGAGACGGGGTTTCTCCATGTTGATCAGGCTGGTCTCGAACCCCTGACCTCAGCTGATCTGCCCATCTAAGCCTCCCAAAGTGCTGAGATTACAGGCATGAGCCACCGCGTCTGGCTGTGACCTATATTTTCTATTAAATTCTTCATTGTTTGGAAGCAGTATCCTACTCATTGTCTAAAGGGTATATACTAATTGCTTCATCAATGTCATTTATTCCTTAAATAATATTTCTAATTTAATTATTATTATTTATTCTTAATAAATGACATTTATTCTTTAAATATTTATTACATTTAAATAATATTTTTGAAAATAAATGGCGTCGATTATTGAAGAATGAGTTTTTAAATAATTGTAAGAATATTTATTTGTTAATATTCATTAATATTAATAATATCACATATGATATGTGATATTATATATTTATTCTATATTAATATATACTTATTCTATATTATATAATATCATTTATTATGTAATAATATAGTAATCATATTCCCTGTTTTTGCTTTTGGGTTAGATTAAAGAATAAATAATTTAAAGAATAAATGACATTTTTAATATTATTATTTAATACTAAATGAAATTTTTGTTATAATATTATCTAATATTAAATGACATTTAATAATAAATGTCATTATATTATTTAATTATTATTTTAAGTAAAATTTCTTATTTTAAACATAATTTCTTCTTTAAATAATATCTTCAGTTATAAAATGTATGTATAAATCTAATCCAAAAGCAAACATAGGAAATACTATTTCCTATTTTTCTCCTTCATTATGTCAACTATCATTTACTTGAAACCTCATATATGTTATTAGTGGGAGAAAAGGAAGTGCAACAACTTTTAACTTTATATGGGTAACAGACCTTTGAGAATATAATAGGAGCTACGAATCTTTTCACCAAAGTAAAGCAAACATTTTCATACCTAATTTGTGTGTATATGGGCAAACACACACACAAAGACACATGCAGTGAAAATAATAACAATTTTATTCATTCTTTAAATTATAATGTAAATAATAATGTCATTTATATTTAAAATTATAATTTAAAAGATGTCATTTTAAAAATTAAAGATAAATGACATTATTATTCAATTATCACTATTTTAAATAACATTCTTCAAATAATATCCTCAGTTTTATATGTATAAATCTAAACCAAAAGCAAAAATAGGGAATTCTTTCTTTCTTCTATGTAATCTCTATTTTTTGTTCAAGGATATCTCGAGATGTGATGAGAGAGATGAAGGAAGTATACAGAAAAAGTGGCTTCATAACCTGAATCCATTAGGTCCTAAAGGCAAGACAAAAGGCCTCATAAAGGAGCAAAAAGAAACAATATGATTGGAAAAGCTGAAGAAGGAACTAAAACATAAAAAGATAAAGGAGTTTCCTGCCACAATCAAAAAAGGAAGCATTACTAACAGATGAAATCTGTTTCTAAACTGCCTGTTTTCTTTAAAAGCACATTGCCATCCAAAAAAGGAATAATGGGCCAGTCGCAGTGTCTCACACCTGTAATCCCTGTGCTTTGGGAGGCCGAGGTGGGTGGATCACCTGAAGTTAGGAGTTTGAGACCATCCTGGCCAACATGATGAAACCCCGTCTCTACTAAAAATACAAAAAAATTAGCTGGGCATGGTGGCACGTGCCTGTGATCCCAGCTACTCAGGAGGCTGAGGCAGGAGAATCACTTGAACCCAGGAGGCAAAGGTGGCAGTGAGCTGAGATCATGCCACTGTACTCCAGCCTGGGCAACAAGAGCAAAACTCTATCTCAAAAAAAAAAAAAAAAAAAAAAAAGAAGGAATAATGGTACAACTATTTTGGAGTAATAAACCTTCAAACAAAAATCAAGCAACCCCATCAAAAAGTGGGCAAAGGATATGAACAGACACTTCTCAAAAGAAGACATTTATGCAGCCAACAGACACATGAAAAAATGCTCATCATCACTGGCCATCAGAGAAATGCAAATTGAAACCACAATGAGATACCATCTCATACCAATTAGAATGGCGATCATTAAAAAGTCAGGAAACAACAGGTGCTGGAGAGGATGTGGAGAAATAGGAACACTTTTACACTGTTGGTGGGACTGTAAACTAGTTCAATCATTGTGGAAGACAGTGTGGCAATTCCTCAGGGATCTAGAACTAGAAATAACCATTTGACCCAGCCATCCCATTACTGGGTATATACCCAAAGGATTATAAATCATGCTGCTATAAAGACACATGCACACGTATGTTTATTGTGGCACTACTCACAATTGCAATGACTTAGAACCAATCCAAATGTCTATCAATGATAGACTGGATTAAGAAAATGTGGCACATATACACCATGGAATACTATGCAGCCATAAAAATGGATGAGTTCCTGTCCTTTGTAGGGACATGGATGAAGCTGGAAAACATCATTCTGAGCAAACTATCTCAAGGACAGAAAACCAAACGCTGCATGTTCTCACTCATAGGCGGGAATTGAACAATGAGAACACTTGGACACAGGGTGGGGAACATCACACACCAGGGCCTGTTGTGGGTTGTGGGGAGTGGGGAGGGATAGCATTAGGAGATATACCTAATGTAAATGACAAGTTAATGGGTGCAGCACACCAACATGGCACATGTATACGTATGTAACAAACCTGCACGTTGTGCACATGTACCCTAGAACTTAAAGTATAATTAAAAAAAGGCTTAAATATAACATGACTAAATTGTATAGAAGCCACGTGGTCTAGAGAAGATGATCCTGAATCATACAGAGCTTAATTAACAGAATTAACAAATCACTAGCAATCAATTTTAATAAGGTACTTTTTGATACATAGCAGAAAAGAAAAATGAGGTATAACATGAACACCTACATAGTTAAGGGATATAGTTCATGGACTATTTATAAGAATATGATAGACCATTAGCAATGAAACAGAAGGATATAAAACACATTAGACTGAGGATCATCATCATATTTCATAATCATATATATCTACAGATTTTTCCTAGGAGGAATGATGCATTCTCTAAATATAAAACATTATAGATTCTTATGTCATAGCCATTACTTTTATGTATCGCTAAGTTAGATTTAGATATATCTGCTCTGTAGACATGCAGAGATAAATAAATGTGATTCCATGTCAAATACCTGCCCAGAATGGCTTCATCCAAATTATTCCAAGAAAAATTGTTAGTTTACAATTTACCTTATTATTTTTACACTATTGTTTCTACCAGGCCAATTCTATTCAGTGTTTTATATAATTTTATACAAGAGTTTGGTGCACACATCCCACAGCACTTGGGAATAGTCCTTTAGTGTGGTCTTTGAAATTAAATCGCACATGGAATCTCAACTTAGTCACTTCATACATCTGAGACCTTGGTCAAGTTATTTCACTTCTAAGATGTTTTGGTTTTCACATTCAACAATGGAAACTATCATGACCTACATTATAGGATGGTTCAGATACTTTATAATGTATTGCATATAAAATCTTATTTATAGAGGTTTTCCTGCAGTTAAGGAGCCAGAAGATCTGGGTTCAGACCTGGGTTATGCTCCATGCAAGTTTTGTAACTTCATGAGATGACATTTGTTAGCTTCAGTGTACCCCTTTCTAAAGTGGAACTGATTGCCAACAATATTGTAGAGTTGCCAACGGGTTTGATAATAAATAATGTGGAAGTACTTTGTAAACTGTAAAAGTGTTAACCACAAATTCAAATAAACTTGTTTATGCAAAGCACAGCTGACATGCATCTCAACACCTATGTTCTGACCAGCATTCCAATGATTACATCTCTACACTTACTATATTTATACCAACAATTTGTTTATTTTTAAGTAGAAATTATGGCTCCCTCCTCTTTATCACATTATCACTAAACCAATAAAAGAAATCCTATAACAATGAATGTCATAGAACTTTTAGAATATTAGAGTTGGAAAGAATGCAAAGTACTACTTTTAGATCATTATTTTTAATGTATAGGAAATTGAGAATTAGAGACCCACTTACTCAACAGAGCAAGGGAAAGACAAGACCTGAATCAGAAATTCCAGTTTTATGTAAGTTTCCACTGCCATACTATTTAATTTGTTTTTTCCTATAAGGCTCTATAGTATGAAATACACCTTAAAAAGTAGAGCACCAGTCAGGGCTTAAAAGTTAGTTTTTGAAAATGAAAAAAAATCTGCAAGATTAATGTATTAAGTAATAGAACTTGACCTGTACTCAGGTGAATTTAATATTTTCTCTAGGGATGACTTGTTTCCCTCTCTCCAGTTAGCTTGCCTTTTAAGCTAATTTTGTTGCATCCGAGGTTACTATTTTCATTTTCCAATTTGTAAGTCCCTTTCCATTTTCCAGATCATTACCATTTATAATGTTCTGATCATTCTTCTTGAGAGTTCCTGGGGTAATTAAAAGGAGTCCTCCTGATGGGTCCCTGACCTTTGGCAGTACTCCTCAAACGCTAGGACTGCTGCAAGGTGCAAAGCCCTTATTTATACCCTTCCATTGTAGAGTTGCGTAAGGCATGTTTTTGGTTATTTATTCAACAGAGATTTATTAAATGCCAACACTGTGTCAAGCACTGTGTTCATCACTGCGTTAACTTCCTGTTAACTTCCTACTTAGAGAAACAACAATTACAATATGTCCTGATAAGTGCTGTGATAAAAAGTATGTACAGGATTCTGTATGAGCCCAACACAATAGGGTCAGGCAGGAAGGACTGGCAGCAGAGGAGGGTTACATTTATATCAAACAGCCAGTGTAGATTATAGAGGAGTGTTCAGGATCTATAAAATGTTCCATCTGCCCAAAGAAAGGGTTCATGTCACCCTCAGTCAATAAAAGAGTAAATCTTCTTTACTTTGTTTCCAAAATATATACTCAAAGTTCATCCACTTCTCTTCCCCAATGCTATTACTGTCATCCATGCTGCCATCATCTCTCATCTGAAATTATTTCCCTAAACCTACTTACTGTTCTCTATGCATTCATTCTTACTCATTGCAATTTATTTTTTCCCCAGCATCTAGGAGTATTAAATAGCAAATCAGATAAGGTTTAAACCTTCCATTGGCTATCTACTGAACTACTTAGATTAAAACTTATAATTCCTTGGCATGGCTTACCAGGTCCTTTGATCTAGTACCTACCTAACCCCTCCAGTCCTTACCTAGTGTTTTTCCCTCAATTATTCTCCATGCTTAGCATTATTGGTCTTTATTCTATTTCTAAGACACGAGTTCCTTCTGTCCCACACAGGGATTTTACATTTATTATGCTCCTTGCCTGGAATGACTTTATCCTAAACATTTGCATAGGTGAGAACTTCTTGCTGACAGTGCTCAAGTCACATGCCACCTTCTCAATGGATCCCTCTAAAACAATCCAGTCTAATTCTATCTGCTAAGATTATGCCACATCACACTGTTTTCTTTCTTTAAAATAATTAGCACCATATAAATTTATATATTACTTTGCTTACTAATTGTTTGTTTCACTGTGCTAGAATATAAGCTTTAAGAACAGGGACCTTCATGTTGTCACCATCATTTATCAAATGCCTAGAAAGTACATAGCATATAGTAGGTCATCAACAGACATATGCTGGGTTAGTGAAAACGGACATGTAAGCAAGCACTAGACAGAAAAGCCTGGTATATTTCATGGTTATACTAATAAATAGGATGGATCCACAACCAATATTTGGTTTGGATGTTAGGACTGATGATACCACATCTTCACCAAAAGGATATTAAAATGTTTATTAATTACATAATGAGACTTTTGGGGGATAACAGGAAGGGCTTCCCAAGATAGTCTGAAAATGGCTTGAAAGATGATGTAAAGAGACTGGCTTGAGATTTTTATTATGGATACATATGGAACCACCACAGTGAGTATTTTGGCACATGGACAGGTGCTTACATGGTTTAAATCTGTCATTGCCAAAGGAGCAAACATCAAACATTTTTTATAAACTTGTCCAGATATAAGGAGGAGGGGACGATAGAGATGAACCTTAAACCCTGTTAAGCAGTCAAACATCCAAAAGTGAAGTCAGGAGATTTAGTACAGAATGCCATTCCAAAGGGTCCAGATTGTATAAAAGTTGTAAGTTGGAGATTCTTCTTTTTCTTTTTGTTTTGAGATGGAGTCTCACTGTGTCACCAGGCTGGAGTGCAGTGGCACAATCTCCGCTCACTGCAAGCTCCGCCTCCCTGGTCCAAGTTATTCCCCTGTCTCAGCCTCCCGAATAGCTGGGAGTACAGTTGCCTGCCACGACACCCAGCTAATTTTTGTATTTTTAGTAGAGATGAGGTTTCACCATGTTAGCCAGGATGGTCTCTATCTCTTGACCTTGTGATCCACCCACCTCAGCTCCCAAAGTGCTGGGATTACAGGCATGAGCCACCACACCCAGCCCTGGAGATTCTTGAAGCATGATAAAGTTTACCTTTTAGAAGGATTGATCTGCCTGCACTTTGGAGAAAATAATAGGGAGATGAGGTAGAAAATCAAGAGGACATGAGGAAGCCATTGTAATGACCTAGGTAAGAGACACTGGAAGCCCCAAAATAGAGATTCTTGAAGGCTATGAAGAGTTAGGGACAAACTTGAGAGGCATATAATTCTTAATGATAAACAATTGAATTGTCTTGACATCTTAACTAATTTGGATTCTGACAAACAACTACAACAAGTTCAACATTATTCACCAGCTACTTAAAGTAGTTTAAAGTGAAATGCCCCCTCAACATGAAAAATGCTGGGCTCCGTGGACCACTTTCGGAAATAAATCCTCCAAAGATTGCAATTGCATGAGAACACCAAGTAGGTCATGCCAAGGAAAAGATATGTTAAAGGCAAGTAGCCCATACTTCAAATGATATGTTGAGCAGACTCCAGATACTTACAAGACTGGAGGTTGTGTTGATATTTGAGTGTTCAGATCCTATGTCAAGCTCAGTTTCCTATTGACTTCAAATCTTAGGCTGTTCCACTGAGATATGCAACATTGTCCCTATACTTGCAATGGTAGATGAGGAGTTCTTGGAATCTTGACTCAAATATTCAGGATTCTGGCAAGGGAACTGGGCTCTGTCAGTTTTTTCATAGAGATATCCTTGCCTAAAGGGACAGAAACAAAGAAGTTTCCAAAATATTCTGTTTATTAGTAGGTTGTGCTGTTAATGAATAACTGTAGCTAAGCATCATATGCCTTGAGGACTGGGATTTGCAGCTTGTCCCTCCTACTTCACATCTACTGTTCAAAAGAGGTCCTCCCTTCTTCTGGACCATCCTTATAACACTCGTGTCCCTGTTGCCAAAAATCCTGCATGTGCTTTCAAGTGAGCTGACTGGTCCTCCTTATGCAGTCTTTCTCTTTACTGTAATGTCATTGTTGTATCATGGGCTTCTGTTGCCATGATGATAACAGTAAAGAATCAGTGTAGATTACTAGAAATCATATTTGCTTTTAAGGTGGTCCATATCTGGTTATGGCAAATTTACCCCTAATTATATACCTAAGGACCTATAAAGGAGAAACTCTCCCCACTGCTACTTCGTAGGACTAGCTCTTTTCTGGAAAATAAAGCAGAAGTCAGAGGAAAGAAGCACATAACCAGGAAGAAGTCAGTGGGAAGATACAGGTAGTAAATTTCATTCTCTTCTTATTAAATGTATTTTCCAGGAAATATTTTAAGTTACTTCACAGATCCATTAAATCTTCTTCTCATTTTCAACAGGAGAGATAGATACAAGTAATTTCACTATTCTGCCTTTTTGGCTTCTACCATAAAATGAGTCATTTGTATTAGAGCAGCAATTTCCAAACATTTTTAGGCCATGGACAGCTGCTGTTGAATGACTGTATTTTGAAAAATGGAAACTACTAAGATAACTTCATTTATTACATAATTTCGTTTTATATTTTTTATTAATCTAAATTGTACATGTACTCTCAAAATGAGAGCTTCTGATAAGCTAAATTGGGTTTTCTTTTTCTTACTTTTTTTAAACTACAAAAACTTAAAAGTTACAAAGGAAAATCACATATATACAAAATAACAATGAGTGTGTGTGTGTATAGCAAAAGTAACAAAAAATCATATAGTAGACGTATTAGTCCATTTTCACACTGCTATAGAAACTGCCCTAGACTGGGTAATTTATAAAGAAAAGAGGTTTAATTGACTCATAGTTCCAAATGGCTGGGGAGGCCATAGGAAACTTACATTCATGGCAGATGGTGAAGGGGAAACAAGCTTAGACATTCTCACATGGTGTCAGGAGAGAGAAGAGTGAGTAATGAAGAGGGAAGAGCCCCTTATAAAACCATCAGATCTCATGAGAACTCACTCACTATCATGAGAACAGCATGGGAGAAACCACCCCCATGGTCCAATCACCTCCCACCAGATCTCTCTCTAGACATGTAGGGATTACAGGGATTATAATTCAAGAGGAGATTTGGGTGGGGACAGAGCCAAACAATATCATTCTGCTCTGGCTCCTCCCAAATCTCATGTCCTCACATTTCAAAATTAATCATGCCTTCCCAGCAGTCCTCCAAAATCTTAATTCATTCCAGCATTAACCCAAAATACCAAGTCCAAAGTCTCATCTGACACATGTCAAGTTTCCAAAACCAATCATGTCTTCCCAACAATCCCCCAAAGTCTTAACTCTTTCCAGCATTAACTCAAAAGTCCAAGTCCAAAATCTCATCTGAGACAAGTAAAGTCTGTCTATTAATTTGTAATTTATTCTGATTGCCTATGAGCCTGTAAAATCAAAAGCAAGTTAGTTCCTTCCAAGATAAAATGGGGGTATGGGAATTAGGTAAATGCTCCCATTACAAATGGGAGAAATTGGCCAAAACAAAGGGGCTACATGCCCCCTGCAAGCCTGAAATCCAGCAGGGCAGTCATTAAAACTTAAGGCTCCTAAATGATCTCTCCTGACTCCATGTCTTAAATCCAGGTCATACTGATGCAACAGGTAGGTTTCCACAGTGTTGAGCAGCTCTGTCCCTGTGGCTTTTCGGGGTACAGTCTTCCTCCCAGCTGCTTTCATGGGCTGGCACTGAGTGTCTGTGGCTTTTCCAGGTGCACAGTGCAAGCTGTCAGTGGATCTGACATTCTGGGGTCTGGAGGACAGTGGCCCTCTTCTCATAGCTCCACTAATTAGTGCCTCAGTGGGGACTCTGTGTAAGGGCTCCAACCCCACATTTCCCTGCTGTACTGCATTAGCAGAGGTTCTCCATGAGGGTTCTACCCCTGCAGCAAACCTCTCTGGACATCAGGCATTTCCATACATCCTCTGAAATCTAGGTGGAGGTTCCCAAACATCAATTATTGACTTCTGTGTACCCACAGGCACACACCACATGGAAGCCATGAAGGCTTGGGGCTTGCACCCTCTGAAGCAATGGCCTGAGCTGTACAATGGTCCCTTTTAGCCAAGGCCGGGACACAGGGTGCCAACTCCCAAGGTTGCACAGAGTAGCAGGAGGACCCTGTGCCGGCTCACAAAACCATTTTTTCCTCCTAGGACTCTGGGTCTGTGATCAGAGGGGTTACCATGAAGGTCTCTGACATTCCCTGGAGACACTTTTCCCATTGTCTTGGCAATTAACATTAAGCTCCTCATTATTTAGGCAAATTTCTGCAGCAAGCTTGAATTTCTCCCCAGAAAATGTGTTTTTGTTTTTTATCACATTGTCAGGCTGCAAATTTTCCAAACCTTTATGTTCTGATTCCCTTTTAAGCATAAGTTCCAATTTTAGATCATCTCTCTCAAGTTCAAGGTTCACACATCACTAGGGCAGGGGTGAAATGTCACCTGTCTCTTTGCTAAAGCATAACAAAAATGACCTTTGCTCCAGTTCCTAATAAGTTTCTCATCTCCATCTGGGACCACCTTGGCCTGGACTTCATTGTTCACATTTCTATCAGCATTTTGGTCAAAACCATTCAACAAGTCTCTAGGAAGCTGCAAACATTTCCACATCTTTCTGTCTTCTGCTGTGCCCTCCAAACTGTCCCAACCTCTGCCTGTTACCAAGTTCCAAAGTCACTTCCACATTTTTTGATATCTTTATAGCAGTACCCCACTCTCTGTGGTACCAATTTACTATGTTAGCTGGTTTTCACACTGCTATAAAGAACTGCCCAAGACTGGGTAATTTATAAAGAAAGGAGGTTTAATTAACTCACAGTTCTAAATGGCTGTGTAGGTCTCAGAAAACTTACAATCATGGCAGAAGGCAAAGAGGAAGCAATCTTGGATCTTCTCACATGGTGGCAGGGGAGAGAAGAGTGAGTAGCGAAGGGAGAAGACCCTCTTTTAAAACCATCAGGTCTCATGAGAACTCACCATCACAAGAACAGCATTGGGGTAACCATCCCCAAGATCCAGTCACTTCCCACCAGGTCTCTCCCTAGACACATAGGGATTATGGGAACTAAAATTCAAGGTGAGATTTGGGTGGGAACACAGCCAAACCATATCAGTAGGCTAGAGAAAATTTGCAACAAATAGAGAAAGAATTATTATAATATCCAAATTGATCAAAATAAATGACAAATTAATAGATCTAAAATAATATATATTTGAAATTCACAAAAAAAGTCTAATGGCAATAGACATATAAGAATATAATCAACTGCAATAATCATCAGAGCAAAGGAAGGTAATAATGAAATTGCATTTCCACACTTAAAAAGAAACACAATATCACATCTTTGAGAACATGGAGAAATGAGCACTCTCTTATATTGCTGAAGTGAATTTCCACAAACTCTTTGTAAATTATCTGGTGATATTCATTACAATGTAAAACAGATATAACCTTTGATACAGAAATAAGAGTTTTAGGACTCCATCTTATTGAAATGCAAGTATAAGTTTCCAAGCCATAGTATAAAGAAAAGTTATAGGATCCTTATTTGCAAAGTTGAAAAACTGAAAAGAATCTGAATAACATCAATAAATGAATAATTAAATAAATGTTGGTACTTTTTTGCTATGAAATAGTATATTGATACTTGAAATAATGTTTTAGAGTTACAGTTACTGACTTGGAAGGATAGCCATGGCGTAGTACTAAGAAAGAAAATCAAGTTTCAAAGTAGCCTGTAAGATATGATGCTGTTTTGTGGAAAGAAACAGCCCTCCTGTGTCTCTATACACATACCTATCTTTTTATGATAAGGGGAGGAAATGAAAATAGGCAGGGGAAGATTATGCATTTTGTTTACTTATAGCTTTATGCTATATCAGTACTTGCAGCAAATAGAGGTTTGTTGTTAATGTTGTTGCTATTGTTTCTTTTTTAATGTGGAAGAGAAATGTAATATAATAAAAATATGATCAAAAAGGAAAAAAGAAAATAGTCTAAAGAAAATCCTCTCCCCATTTCTAGGATTCCAAAAAGCCCAGACACCGTTATGAGAATCAAAGGAATAGATGATTCTGTGTCCCTTTCTCCTTATAAAACATAGCTTTATATGATTACCAGTTTAATATTAACTTCTCCAAATTATTCAGATTGATGCCATAAGCCTGCAGCTACTTCATTCTTTTTTAGCAATCTTTCTATGTGGTTGTATTGATTATAAACACTCCTATAAAGGCACGCTTCTCTCAATAATCATTTGATCTTTGTCTATGAACACAAACTCTATGATTATAGGTTTCCAGTAGACAATATATTGATTTGTCTAAACAGCACCTGCTTTGATGCGAAATGCAAGTTTCCATCTGGTTGGCTTTCATGGAAGCAGCGATTTTTGTAAAATATGACCCCACCATGTTTGTCACAGAGGTAAGCAGAAGACCTCAGTTAAGATAATGAAACCCTTCTTCTAGATATATAGTATTTGGGCCAAAGAGACTATAAGAATAGTCCACTTTCAGTGATAAAACCATAAAATATGAAATTTGTGAGTTGTCAATAACTAGGTTTCCTACCATGTGGTTAAAGCACAACTGCAGGGAAAGTGAATGTAGCAAACCTCCCAAGAAAGGTAAAAATAAAGAGAAAGAGGATCCCGATGGTATTTGAGTCCCTGGTAAAAATGCTTCTGAGGCCCAGCACTAGTCAGTAAAATCAACTGATTATTTACTCTTCTGGGTATGATGGCCAGCACAAGTTAAGTTATTATCACTTGTAGTTAAGAAAATATTAACAGCTATAAATTTTATGTTTCATTTCCTTTGGAATATCCCCAAGAATCTAAGACAGAGTTTGGTTACAGACATTATCTAAACCATACTGCTAGCCTGGAATAACGTAGTATGGACAGAGGAAAGGGCAGAGTTCAGAACTATCATCAGCAAAGGAAGCTCGGGCAGTGTGCAGAGAAAGTTCTATGTGAAAATAAAAGAACAGGAAGATGAAAAACATTTTTAAGATGAAGGGAATCTAAGCTGCACAGGGTAAAATTATAGCAAAGAAACCCGATATTCTATACAAAAAACAAAAAGAAAAATATTAAAGAAAATAATTGTGCAAGACCAAACTCAGTAATGTGGATTTGTTTAATACTGAAAAAACTCCTAAAGAGGCATAGATTTTGGACAGTTAATTATTTTGGCTTGTTACTTTCTTTATCCTAGGAAATATTTGGCTAGGATTAGAGATGCTATTTTTTTTGTATGTTAAAAAACAGTCCAACTCTTTTCTTTTTATCTGTAGTGTGTTTGGATCAACATTTAGTTGTATATTCCCAAAAAGATCAAGAATATTTTATTATGTTCTTCAATAATATTGATGCTGGACATAGACCTATTTATATATCCATTCAGCAAACACTGATTAAACACCTATCTTGTGGCAGATATTGTTCTAGTTATTGTTTGGGATGTAATGGGAAGCAAACCAAGTCAAGCAAGTTTTTTTCCGTAAGGGAGTTTATCATCTGGCAGATGGAGATTAAAAGCAAGCAATAAACATAATAAATGAGTAAAACTGATAGCATGTTTAATGATTATAAGCATTTTTGAAAAAAAGGAGAAGTTAAGCAAAATAAGGAAAATGAAGAGGGTCTAGTGTGTGGAGGGCAAGGAAGGTCCATTGTTAAGTAAGGTGGTTTGAATAGGCCTCATTGAGAAGGTGGCATTTCACAAAAGAAAGTGAATGAAAGGGCTAAGCAGACCTCATGAGGGCAAAACAGTTCTGGGAAGTATGTGTCCTGGGATAGAGTTATACCTGAAGTTTTTACAGAGAAGGTAATGACCAAAAGGAAGAGTGACAGGTAATGAAGTCAGAAAGGAAATAGATGTGTAGAAAACTAAGATAAACAGTTTGGCTTATACTTTGAACTTTGAGGAGAAGAGTGACATTTTCTTGTAAATTTTAGGATCAGTTTATTTTCTTTTCATTAATGCTAGTTAGAATTGTGTTAGAGATTGCATTCAAAATATAGATCAATTTGGAGACTACTGTCATCTTAATAGTACTAATTCTTCTAATCCATGACCATGGGATACCTTTTCATTTATTTAATTCATATTTAACACTTTTTTGTAAGTTTGAGACAACATGTTTTAGCATTCTTTTGTGAAACCTGTTAAGTATTTTATTCTTTTTGATGCCATGGTAAAGACAAATGTTTCCCGAGTTCAAGTGATTCTCCTGCCTCAGCCTCCCAAGTAGCTGGGATTACAGGTGCCCACCACCACACCCAGCTAATTTTGTATTTTTAGTAGAGACGGGGTTCTGCCATGTGGGTCAGGCTGGTCTCAAATTGCTGACCTCAGGTGATCCGCCCACCTCTGCCTCCCAAAGTGCTGGGACTAGAGGTGTGAGCCACTGTGGCCAGCTGATTATTTAGAAGTGTGTTTTTAAATTTCCACATACTTTTGAATTTTCCAAATTTCCTTTTGTACAGACCCTTGAACAACATGGTTTGAACTTCATGGATTCATTTATATGCAGAGTTTCTTCTACCTCTGCCACCCATGTGAAAACAAGGCTGATCCCTCCTCTTCCTCCTCTTCATCAGCCTACTCAAGGTGAGGACAATGAGAACAAAGGACTTTATGATAATCCACTTCCACTTAATGAATAGTAAATATATTTTCTCTTTCTTGTGATTTTTTTAGTAACATTTTTTTCTAGCTTACTTTATCATAAGAAGTTTATAATACATGTAACACAAAAATTATGTGTCAATCAGCTGTTTATGCTATGGATAAGGTTTCCAGTCAACAGAAGGCTATTGGTAGGAATGGTCTGGGGAATCAAAACTTATACACAAATTTTTCACTGACTGGGGGGTCAGTACCCATAACACCCACATTGTTCAAGAGTCAACTGTATTTGATTTCATTTCCTTATTGGATTAGAATATACTAAGTATGATTTCAATCCTTTCACATTTAGGTTCTAACATATGCTCTATTCAGGAAAATTTTCCCTGTGTGCTTGAAAAGAAAGTTATTCTGCTGATGTTAGGTAGAGTATTCTATAGATAATATGTATAGCTAAGTTATAGTTTTGTTGTATTTTTAACTTTCCAACTTTTATTTTAGGTTTGAGGGTACATGTGCAGGTTTATCACATGGGTAAATATCATGTCATGGGGGTTTGGTATACAGATTATTTTGTCACCCAAATAAGAAGCATAGTACTCAATAGGTAGTTTTTCAATCCTCATCCTCCTCCACGCTTCATCCTCAAGTAGGACCCAGTGTCTATAGTTCCCTTTTTTCCTATCCATGTGTACTCAAGGTCTAGCTCCCACTTGTAAGTGAAAACATGTGGTAATTCATTTACTGTTTCTGTGGTAACTTACATGGAATAATGGCCTTCATCTCTATCCATGTTGCTGCAAGAACATGATCTCGTTCTTTTTTATAGCTGCATTGTATTCCATCATGTATATTTACCAAATTTCCTTCATTTAGTTCATTGTTGATAGGCATCTAGGTTGATTCCGTGTCTTTGTATTGTGAATTGTGGTGCAATAAATATATACATGTATGTGCCTTTATGGTAAGAATGATTTCCATTTCTTTGAGTATATGCCAAGTAATGGGATTCCTGTGTCAAACAGTAGTTCTATTTTAAGTTCCTTGAGAAATCACCAAACTGCTTTCCACAGTGGCTGAACTATTTTACATACCCACTTGCTGTGTATAAGCATTCCCTTTTATGTACAACCAGACAAACATCTGTTATTTTTTGATTTTTTAATAATACCCATTCTGATTGGTGTGAGATGGTATCTTATTGTGGTCTTGATTTGCATTTATCTGATGATTAGTGGTGTTGTGCATTGTTTCATATGCTTTCTAGCTGTCTGTGTGTCTTCTGAGACATGTCAGCTCATGACATTTGTCTATTTTTTAATAAGATTGTTTGTTTTTTGTTTGTTAATTGGTTTTAGTTCCTTATAGTTTCTGGATTTGACCTTTACTGGATGCTTAGTTTGCAAATATTTCATATCTTTCTATAGGTTTTCTATTTACTCTGCTGACAGTTTCTTTTGCTATGTAGGAGCACTTCAATTTAACTAAATACCATTTATCAATTTCGTTTTTGTTGCAATTGCTTTTGGAGTCTTCAAAATGAAATTTTTGCCAGATCGTATGTCCAGAATGGTGTTTCCTACATTATCTTCCAGGGTTTTTATAATTTTGGGTTTTGGATTTAAGTTTTTAATCCATCTTGAGTTGATTTTTTTATATGGTGAAAGGAAGGTGTCCAGTTTCATTCTTCTGCATGTGGCTAGGCAGTTACAACAGCATCATTTATTAAATAGGGAGTTCTTCCCCTATTGCTGTTTTTGTACTTTGTCAAAGATCAGATGGTTGTAGGTGTAAGGCTTTATTTCTAGGTTATCTAACCTGTTCCATTGGTCTGTCTGTCTGTCTGAATTTGTATCAGCACCATGCTGTTTTGCTTACTGTAGTCTTTTAGTCTAGTTTGAAGTCAGGAAATGTAATGCCTCCAACTTTGTTCTTTTTGCTTGGAATTGCCTTAGCTATTTGGGCTCTCTTTTATTTCCATATGAATTTTAGAATACTTTTTTTTTCTAATTCTGTGAAGAATGTCATAGGTAGTTTCATAGGAATAGCACTGAAAATTTAGATTGCTTTGGGAAGTATGGCCATTTTAACAATATTGATATTGCCTATCCATGACCATGAAATGATTTTTTACTTCTTCATATCATCTCTGATTTCTTTGAGCAGCGTTTGGTAATTCTTGTTGTAGAGGTCTTTTGCCTCCAGGGTTACCTGTATTCTTAGGTATTTTATAGTTTTTTTTGGCTATTGTTAATGGGATTGTATTATTGACTTGGCTCTCAGCTTGGACATTGTTGGTGTATAAAAATGCTACTAAATTTTGTACATTGATTTTGTATCCTGAAACTTTGCTGAAGTTATTTCTCAGATCTAAGAACTTTTGGGAAGAAATTACAGAATTTTCTAGATAATTTGATTTCCTCTCTTCCTGTATGGATGTATTTTTTTTCTCTTGCCTAACTGTTTTAGCTAGGACTTCCAGTAATATGTTGAAGAGGACTGATGAGGATCAGCCTCCTTGTCTTGTTCTAGTTTTCAAAGGGAATGCTTTCAGCTATTGCCCATTCAGTATGATGTTGCCTGTAGGTTCGTCATAGATATCTCTTATTACATTGAGGTATGTTCCTTCAATACCTAGTTTGTTGAAAATTTTTAACATGAAGCTTGTTGAATTTTTCCAAAGCCTTTTCTGCATCTATTGAGATAATCATGTGGTTTTTGCCTTTAGTTCCATTTGATGAATCATATTTATTAATTTGTATATTTTGAAGCAATATTACATCCCAGTGATAAGCCTAATTAATTGTGTTGGATCAGCTTTTTTAACTGCTGCTTGATTTGGTATGCAAGTATTTTTTTTGAAGATTTTTGGGTCTATGTTTATCAAAGATATTGCCCTTAAGTTTTCTTTTTTAGTTGTGTCTCTGCCAGGATTTGAAATTAGTGTGATGCTGGCCTGTTAGAATGAGTTAGGAAGGAATCCCTCCTCCTCAATTTTTTGAAATAATTTTAGTAGGAATGGTACCAGTATTCCTTATATATCTGGTATAATTTGGCTGTGAATTCATCTGGTCCTGGGCTTTTTCTAGTTCATAGGCTTTCTATTTCTGATTCAATTTTGGAACTCATTTTTGGTCTGTTCAGGGATTCAATATATTTCTGGTTCAATCTGGGGGGGCTGTGTCTTTCCAGGAATTTACCCATTTCTTCTACATTTTCTAGTTGTATGCACAAAGGTGTTTGTAGTAGTTGCTGGTGAGGGTGGGGAGGTTGTTTGTCTGTGTGGTTGGTGATAATGTCCCTTTTGTCATTTCTGATTGTGTTTATTTGAGTCTTCTCTTGTTTTCTTTATTAGTCTAGCTAATTGTCCAACAATCTTATTTATTCTTTCAAAAAAAATAAGCTACAGATTTTTTTAAATCTTTTGTATGGTTTTTGGTGTCTCAGTTTACTTTAGTTCAGCTCTGATTTTGGTTATTTCTTGTCTTCTGCTACCTTTGGGGTTGGTTTGTTTTTGTTTCTCTAGTTCCTTAAGGTGTGATATTAGGTTGCTAACTTGTGATATTTCTAACTTTTTGATGTTGGCATTCAACATTATAAACTTCTTTCTTAACACTGCTTTAGCTGTGTCCCAAAGATTCCAGTATGTCTTATCTTCATTTTTATTAGGTTTAAATAATTTCTTGGCCAGGCACCGTGGCTCGTGCCTGTAATCCCAGCACTTTGGGAGGCCAAGGCAGGCAGATCAAGAGGTCAGGAGATTGAGACCATCCTGACCAACATGGTGAAACCCAGTCTCTACTAAAAATACTAAAATTAGCTGGGCATGGTAGCGTGCGCCTGTTGTCCAGCTACTCAGGAGGCTGAGGCAGGAGAATCACTTGAACCCTGGAGTCAGAGGTTGCAGTGAGCTGAGATTGCACCACTACAATCCAGCCTGGTGACAGAGTGAGACTCCATCTCAAAAAAAAAAAAAAAAAAAAGAAGAAGAAGAAGAAAAAACCATTTCTTGATTTCTGCCTTAATTTCATTATTAACCCAAAAGTCATTCAGGAACATGTTTAATTTGCATGTAATTGTATGGTTTTCACAGATATTCTTAGTATTGATTTCTATTTTTATTGCACTGTGGTTTTAGAATGTGGCTGGTATTACTTTGTTCTTTTTTGAATTTGTTGAGAACTGTTTTATGGCTGAGCATGTGGTCAACTTTGGAGTATATGCTATGTGCAGATGAGAAGGATATATATTTGTTGTTTGGTGGAGTGTTCTTTAGTTGCCTGTTAGGTCCATTTGGTCAAGTGTCAAGTTTTCATCCTGAATATCTTTGTTCATTTTCTGCCTCAAAAATCTGCCCAATATAGTGGTGGTAAAGTCTCCCACTATTATTGTGTGCTTATCTAAGTCTCTTTGTAAGTCTCTGAGAACTTGTTTTATGAATATGGGTGTGCCAGTGTTAGGTGCATATATATTAAAGATAGTTAAGTCTTCTTATTGAACAGAACCTTTTATCATTATGGAATGTCCTCCATTGTCTTTTTTAACTGTTGTTGGTTTGAAGTCTGTTTTTTCTTAAATTAGGATACCAACTCCCTGCTCTTGTTTGTTTTCCCTTTGCTTAGTTGATTTTTCTCCATCCTTTTACTTTGAACCTATGGGTATCATTGCACATGAGATGCATCTCTTGAAGACAACATACCATTGGGTCTTATTTCTTTGTCCAGCTTTCCACTATGTGCCTTTTATGTGGGGTGTTTAGCCCATTTACATTCAATGTTAACATTGATATGTATGGATTTGATCCTGTCATGTTGTTAGCTGGTTGTTATGCAGACTTCATTGCGTAGTTTATTTACAGTGTCAATGGTCTATGTATTTCAGTGTGTTTTTGTGGTGGCCAGTAACCCTCTTTATTTCCATGTAGAGCACTCCCTTAAGGACCTCTCATAAGGCAGGTCTCATGGTAATAAATTTCCTTAGCTTTTGTTTGTCTGAAAAGAATTGTATGTCTCCTTCACCCATGAAGCTTAGTTTGAATGGATATAAAGTTCTTGTTTGGAATTCCTTTTCTTTAAGAATGCTGAACAGAAATCCTTCAATGTCATCTGGCTTGTAGGGTTTCTGATGAAAGCTTTGCTGCTAGCCTGATGGAATCCCCTGTGTAGGGAATTCTCTCTTCTCTCTACCTGCCTTAAATATTTTTTCTTTCAGGTTGCCCCTGGAGAATTTGATGACTCTATGTCTCGAGGATGAATTTCTTGTATGTAGTATCTCACAGGGGTTTTCTGACTTTCCTGAATTAGCTTGTTGACCTCTCTAGCAACTTTGGGAATATTTTGATGAAAAATATCCTCAAATATGGTTTTCAAGTTGCTTGCACTCTCTCTCTCTTTCAGGGATGCCAATGAGTCACAGGTTTGACTACTCTATATAGTCCTATATTTTTCAGAGGATTTATTCACCTTTTTTATACTTTTTCTGACTGAGTTGATTTGAAAAACCAGTCTTGGAGTTCTGAAATTCTTTTTTTGGCTTGACCTATTCTGCTGTTGACATTTTCAATTATATTATAAAATTATTGTAGTGAGTTTTTTAGTTCCATAAAATCAGTTTGCTTCTTTCTTAAAATGAGTATTTCATCTTTCAGCTCTTGTATCATTTTATTGAATTCCTTAGATTCCTTGAATTGGACTTTGACTTTCTCCTAAATCTTGATGATCTTCTTTGCTATCCCAATTCTGAATTTTATCTTTCATTTCAGCCATTTTTAGCCTGGTTAAGAACCACTACTGAGGAGCTAGTGCAGCTGTTTGGAGTTAAAAAGACACTCTGGGTGGCCAGGTGTGGTGGCTTATGCCTGTAATCCCAGCATTTTGGGAGGCAGAGGTGGGCAGATCACGAGGTCAGGAGATGGAGACCATCCTGGCTAACACAGTGAAACCCCGTCTCTACTAAAAATACAAAAAATTAGCCTGCGAGGTGGTGGGTGCCTGCAGTTTCAGCCATGAAGTGCTTTATTTCAGTGAAAAGGTGGACATTTTCTACTATAGGAAAAAACATAGCGGGGTGGAGCCAAGATGGCCGAATAGGAACAGCTCCAGTCTACAGCTCCCAGTGTGAGCGACACAGAAGACGGGTGATTTCTGCATTTCCAACTGAGGTACCAGGTTCATCTTACTGGGGAGTGCCAAACAGTGGGTTCAGGACAGTGGGTGCAGCGCACCATGAATGAGCAGAAGCAGGGCGAGGCATTGCCTCACTCAGGAAGCACAAGGGGTCAGGGAATTCCCTTTCCTAGTCAAAGAAAGGGGTGACAGATGGCACCTGGAAAATTGGGGCACTCCCACCCTAATACTGCACTTTTCCAACAGGCTTAACAAACAGCACACCAGGAGATTATATCGCACACCTGGCTTAGAGGGTCCTACACCCACAGAGCCTCGCTCATTGCTAGCACAGCAGTCTGAGATCAAACTGCAAGGTGGCAGCGAGGCTGGGGGAGGGGCGCCCACCAGTGCCGAGGCTTCAGTAGGTAAACAAAATGGCCGGGAAGCTCGAACTGTGTGGAATCCACCACAGCTCAATGAGGCCTGCCTGCCTCTGTAGGCTCCACCTCTGGGGGCAGGGCACAGACAAACAAAAGGCAGCAGTAACATCTGAAGACTTAAATGTCTGTGTCTGACAGCTCTGAAGAGAGTAGTGGTTCTCCCAGCACGCAGCTTGAGATCTGAGAACGGGCAGACTGCCTCCTCAAGTGGGTCCCTGACCCCCGAGTAGCCTAACTGGGAGGCACTCCTGAGTAGGGGCACACTGACACCTCACATGGCCAGGTACTCCTCTGAGACAAAACTTCCAGAGGAACGATCAGACAGCAGCATTTGCAATTCACCAATATCCGCTGTTCTGCAGCCACCGCTGCTGATACCCAGGCAAACAGGGTCTGGAGTGGACCTCCAACAAACTCCAACAGACCTGCAGCTGAGGGTCCTGACTGTTAGAAGGAAAACTAACAAACAGAAAGGACGTCCACACCAAAAACCCATCTGTACGTCACCATCATCAAAGACCAAAGGTAGATGAAACCACAAAGATGGGGAAAAAACAGAGCAGAAAAACTGGAAACTCTAAAAATCAGAGTGCCTCTCCTCCTCCAAAGGAACGCAGCTCCTCACCAGCAATGGAACAAAGCTGGACGGAGAATGACTTTGACGAGTTGAGAGAAGAAGGCTTCAGAAGATCAAACTACTCTGAGCTAAAGGAGGAAGTTCAAACCAATGGCAAAGAAGTTAATAACCTTGAAAAAAAATCAGACAAATGCCTAACTAGAATAACCAATGCAAAGAAGTCATTAAAGGACCAGATGGAGCTGAAAACCAAGGCATGAGAACTATGTGACGAATGCACAAGCCTCAGTAGCCAATGCAATCAACTGGAAGAAAGCGTATCAGTGATGGAAGATGAAATGAATGAAATGAAGTTAGAAGAGAAGTTTAGAGAAAAAAGAATAAAAAGAAACAAACAAAGCCTCCAAGAAATATGGGACTATGTGAAAAGACCAAATCTACGTCTGATAGGTGTACCTGAAAGTGATGGGGAGAATGGAACCAAGTTGGAAAACACTCTGCAGGATATTATCCAGGAGAACTTCCCCAATCTAGCAAGGCAGGCCAACATTCAAATTCAGGAAATACAGAGAATGCCACAAAGATACTCCTCAAGAAGAGCAACTCCAAGACAAATAATTGTCAGATTCACCAAAGCTGAAATGAAGTAAAAAAATGTTAAGGGCAGCCAGAGAGAAAGGTCGGGTTACCCACAAAGGGAAGCCCATCAGACTAACAGCTGATCTCTCTGTGGAAACTCTACAAGCCAGAAGAGAGTGGGGGCCAATATTCAACATTCTTAAAGAAAAGAATTTTCAACCCAGAATTTCATATCCAGCCAAACTAAGCTTCATAAGTGAAGGAGAAATAAAATCCTTTACAGACAAGCAAATGCTGAGAGATTTTGTCACCACCAGGCCTGCCCTAAAAGAGCTCCTGAAGGAAGCAGTAAACATGGAAAGGAAAAACTGGTACCAGCCACTGCAAAAACAAGTAAAATTGTAAAGACCATCGAGGCTAGAAAGAAACTGCATCAACTAATGAGCAAATAACCAGCTAACATCATAATGGCAGGATCAAATTCACACATAACAATATTAACCTTAAATGTAAATGGGCTAAATGCTCCTATTAAAAGTCACAGACTGGCAAATTGGATAAAGAGACAAGACCCATCAGTGTGCTGTATTCAGGAAACCCATCTCACGTGCAGAGACACATATAGGCTCAAAATAAAGGGATAGAGGAAGATCTACCAAGCAAATGGAAAACAAAAAAAGGCAGGGGTTGCAATCTTAGTCTCGAATAAAACAGACTTTAAACCAACAAAGATCAAAAGAGACAAAGAAGGTCATTACGAAATGGTAAAGGGATCAATTCAACAAGAAGAGCTAACTATCCTAAATATATATGCACCAAATACAGGAGCACCCAGATTCATAAAGCAAGCTCTTAGTGACCTACAAAGAGACTTAGACCCCCACACAATAATAATGGGAGACTTTAACACCCCACTGTCAACATTAGACAGATCAAAGAGACAGAAAGTTAACAAGGATATCCAGGAATTGAACTCAGCTCTGCACCAAGCAGACCTAATAGACATCTACAGAACTCTCCACCCCAAATCAACAGAATATACATTCTTTTCAGCACCACACCACACCTATTCAAAAACTGACCACATAGTTGGAAGTAAAGCACTCCTCAGCAAATGTAAAAGAACAGAAATTATAACAAACTATCTCTCAGACCACAGTGAAATCAAACCAGAACTCAAGATTAAGAAACTCACTCAAAACCACTCAACTACATGGAAACTGAACAACCTGCTCCTGAATGACTACTGGGTACATAACGAAATGAAGGGAGAAATAAAGATGTTCTTTGAAACCAACGAGAACAAAGACACAACATACCAGAATCTCTGGGATACATTCAAAGCAGTGTGTAGAGGGAAATTTATAGCACTAAATGCCCACAAGAGAAAGCAGGAAAAATCTAAAATTGACACCCTAACATCACAATTAAAAGAACTAGAGAAGCAAGAGCAAACACATTCAAAAGCTAGCACAAGGCAAGAAATAACTAAGATCAGAGTGGAACTGAAGGAAATAGAGACACAAAAAACCCTTCAAAAAATCAATGAATCCAGGAGCTGGTTTTTTGAAAAGATCAACAACATTGATAGACTGCTAGCAAGACTAATAAAGAAGAAAAGAGAGAAGAATCAAATAGATGCAATAAAAAATGACAAAGGGGATATCACCACCGATCCCACAGAAATACAAACTACCATCAGAGAATACTATAAACACCTCTATGCAAACAAACTAGAAAATCTAGAAGAAATGGATAAATTCCTCGACACATACACCCTCCCAAGACTAAACCAGGAAGAAGTTGAATCTCTGAATAGACCAATAACAGGCTCTAAAACTGAGGCAATAATTAATAGCTTACCAACCAAAAAAAAAGTCCAGGACCAGATGGATTCACAGCCGAATTCTACCAGAGTTGCAAACAGGAGCTGGTACCATTCCTTCAGAAACTATTCCAATCAATAGAAAAAGAGGGAATCCTCCCTAACTCATTTTATGAGGCCAGCATCATCCTGATACCAAAGCCTGGCAGAGACACAACAAAAAAAGAGAATTTTAGATCAATATCCTTGATGAACACTGATGCAAAAATCCTCAGTAAAATACTGGCAAACTGAATCCAGCAGCACATCAAAAAGCTTATCCACCATGATCAAGTGGGCTTCATCCCTGGGATGCAAGGCTGGTTCAACATACGAAAATCAATAAATGTAATCCAGCATATAAACAGAACCAATGACAAAAACCACATGATTATCTCAATAGATGCAGAAAAGGCCTTTGACAAAATTCAACAATGCTTCATGCTAAAAACGCTCAATAAATTAGTTATTGATGGGATATATCTCAAAATAATAAGAGCTATCTATGACAAACCCACAGCCAATATCATACTGAACGGACAAAAACTGGAAGCATTCCCTTTGAAAACTGGCACAAGACAGGGATGCCCTCTCTCACCACTCCTATTCAACATAGTGTTGGAAGTTCTGGCCAGGGAAAACAGGCAGGTGAAGGAAATAAAGTGTATTCAATTAGGAAGAGGAAGTCAAATTGTCCCTGTTTGCAGATGACATGATTGTATATCTAGAAAACCCCATCATCTCTGCCCAAAATCTCCTTAAGCTGATAAGCAACTTCAGCAAAGTCTCAGGTTACAAAATCAATGTGCAAAAATCACAAGCATCCTTATACACCAAAAACAGACAAAGAGCCAAATCATGAGTGAACTCCCATTCACAATTGCTTCAAAGAGAATAAAATACCTAGGAATCCAACTTGCAAGGGATGTGAAGGACCTCTTCAAGGAGAACTACAAACCACTGCTCAAGGAAATAAAAGAGGATACAAACAAATGGAAGAACATTCCATGCTCATGGGTAGGAAGAATCAATACCGTGAAAATGGCCATACTGACCAAGGTAATTTATAGATTCAATGCCATCCCCATCAAGCTACCAATGACTTTCTTCACAGAATTGGAAAAAACTACTTTAAAGTTCATATGGAACCAAAAAAGAGCCTGCATTGCCAAGTCAATCCCAAGCCAAAAGAACAAAGCTGGAGGCATCACGCTACCTGACTTCAAACTATACTACAAGGCTACAGTAACGAAAACAGCATGGTACTGGTACCAAAACAGAGATATAGACCAATGGAACAGAACAGAGCCCTCAGAAATAATGCCGCACATCTGCAACTATGTCATCTTTAACAAACCTGACAAAAACAAGCAATGGGGAAAGGATTCCCTATTTAATAAATAGTGCTGGGAAAATTAGCTAGCCATATGTAGAAAGCTGAAACTGGATCCCTTCCTTACACCTTATACAAAAATTAATTCAAGATGGATTAAAGACTTACATGTTAGACTTAAAACCATAAAAACCCTATAAGAAAACCTAGGCAATACCATTCAGGACATAGGCATGGGCAAGGACTTCATGCCTAAAACACCAAAAGCAATGGCAACAAAAGCCAAAATTGACAAATGGGATCTCATTAAACTAAAGAGCTTCTGCACAGCAAAAGAAACTACCATCAGAGTGAACAGGTAACCTACATAATTGGAGAAAATTTTTGCAACCTACTCATCTGACAAAGGGCTAATATCCAGAATCTACAATGAACTCAAACAAATTTACAAGAAAAAAACAACCCCATCAGAAAGTGGGCGAAGGATATGAACAGACACTTCTCAAAAGAAGACATTTATGCAGCCAAAGACACATGATAAAATGCTCATCATCACTGGCCATCAGAGTAATGCAAATCAAAACCACAATGAGATACCATCTCACACCAGTTAGAATGATGATCATTAAAAAGTCAGGAAACAACAGGTGCTGGAAAGGATGTGGAGAAATAGGAATACTTTTACACTGTTGGTGGGACTGTAAACTAGTTCAACCATTGACTAGTTGTGGAAGTCAGTGTGGCGATTCCTCAGGGATCTAGAACTAGAAATACCATTTGACCCAGCCATCCCATTACTGGGTATATACCCAAAGGATTATAAATCATGCTGTTATAAAGACACATGCACACATATGTTTATTGCGGCACTATTCACACTAGCAAAGACTTGAAACCAACCCAAATATTCAACAATGGTAGACTGGATTAAGAAAATGTGGCACATATACCCCATGGAATACTATGCAGCCTTAAAAAATGATGAATTCATGTCCTTTGTAGGGACATGGATGAAGCTGGAAACCGTCATTCTCAGTAAACTATCGCAAGGACAAAAAATCCAAACACAGCATGTTCTCACTCACAGGTGGGAATTGAACAATGAGAATACATGGACACAGGAAGAGGAACATCACACAAAGGGGACTGTTGTGGGGTGGGGGGAGGTGGGAGGGTTAGCATTAGAAGATATACCTAGTGCTAAATGACGAGTTAGTGGGTGCAGCACACCAACATGGCACATGTATACATATGTAACAAACCTGCACGTTATGCACATGTACCCTAAAACTTAAAGTATAATAATAATAAAATTAAAAAAATAGCATAGTTTAAATAGGATTTTGGTACTATCTGTGATTTCAAGCCTCCACTTGGAGTCTTAGAATGTATCTCTGTGGATAAGTATGAACTACTGTGTGTGTGAGTGTGTGTGTGTGTGTACATATATATACATATATATGTGTGTGTGTATATATGTATATATGTTGGTATGAATGATGGTGTCTCGTCTCACACAGCTCTGGGGCACTTTGTTTTCCTCCATTCTGTTTTCTCTCTGATCTTCAGAATGCATAATCTCAATTGTCATATCTTCCAGTTCACTGATTCTTTAAACAGCTCAAATGTGCTGTTTAACCCCTCTAGTGATTTTTTTTTTTCTCTTCAATGATTATACTTTTCGCTCCAGAAATTCTATTTGGCTCTTTTTATTGTTTCTATCTATGGATATTCTTTAGTTAGAGAAGCATTTCTTACACTTTCCTTTATATGTTCAGATTGTTTTATCCTTTAACATATTTATAATAGATAATTTAAATTCACTATCGTAAGTAAAACATCTGAATTTCTTCAGGGACAATTTCTATTGTCTGCTTTTTATTTCTGTGTGAATAGGCCACACTTTCCTGTTTCTTCACATATCTATTAAATTTGTTTTTTAAAACTGGTTATTTTGAATAATATTTGAGGCAAGTCTGGAAAATCAGACCTACTCCCCCAAACCATGGTTTTTTATTATTGCTGTTTATTGTTGCTATTGTTGTTGTTGTTATTGTTGCTGCTGCTACTACTACTGTTTGTTTAAGGAATTTGTTTATCCAGTTCTGCAAACTCTATATACTTTGTTATGTTTTATCCCTGACTGGAGTCTCTGCTTGGTTAGCTCAGTGGTTAGCTAATGACTGAACAGAGATGTTCTTAAATATCTTGAATCGGTAAGTCCCCCATCATTTGCTATGGGGCTGTGTGTGTGTGGTAGAGCACAAAGTCAACACTGAATGTTTACTTCCTGCTTGCAGAGACCCTCAAGTTCAGCAAGAGGTGAAAGATTAAGGTCTTCTCAGGTTTTTGCTGCTGTTGTTTTTGCTGTTGTTTTAATCCAGAGGCCTCACAGCTACCAGGAGTTATGTATACAGTCCTGTACATGCACATGCCTTCTAAATTCCAGGAATATGTCAGAGCTTTCCAATGCCTTGTAGAAGCATCTCAATTCCAAGATTTTCCTTTAAAGTTTTTGGTCAGTCTCTTATTTGCCTCAACTGGCATCCCCACCCTACACAGTTGTAATGTTAAACAATTGGCCAATGATCCTCATCAAATGCCCTGGGAAAAGGACTTTTCCCACTGAATGATCTCTGAGTCAGATCAAACAAAGACAAACCTTGTAAGAAGAAGCTTTTCTAGGGAACTGTTGGGTGAGTCAAAGAGTGACAATTCCCTGGGGACAGGTCTTCTTGAGAAACATCCAACCTTTTCTGACCCCTGTAGTAACTATTAGGCATCTGGACTTTTTCGCTGCCATGGTTATAAGCCTGCTAGTTTTCCACACTGCTGGGGACCCGGAGATTAGGAGATTGGAATAGAATAAGTCGAAACACCACATTCTCACCGTTCTCACTAATCTCCAGCCATTTTTCTTAAACAGTCCTCAAATTTTTGCAAGCTTTTGGCTAATTTCCAGAGTTCTGAAAAAGTTTGACTTCAATAATTCTTGCCACTGTTGCTTTTATAAAGGAGTAGATTTTTGAAGGTCTTTACTTTGCCATTCAGGAATTTTTTTCTCCTAAATATTTTTTAACGCACTAGTCTAACCATTCAACTTTTTAAAAAAGATTATGCAAAAGCTTCTTTAATTTCTAGATAAGGTCCCAAAAATGACCTACAAGGTCTTGTGAAATCCATTCTTACCTACCCCTTAGACTTGCTGAGGCTCAGGAAATAACACCCCAAAGTATGGCACCTTGGTACACTGAGAAATTTGAACTGAAAAACATTAGAAGGTCATCAGAAGCAAAGTGTCTTTCTCACCTCCTGCCCTTCTTTTCTGCTGCTTTCCTTCCATTTCTAAGGCAAGCCCTAGAAACTAGAATCCCTCTTCCCCAAAGTGGGTCTTAGAAACCAGAATCCTTCTCCCCCAAAACCAGCCATAAAACCTAGAAATATTGCTCTAATCTTCCCCTGCTTTTCTGTATAAGACCCAGTTTTAAAGAAATGTTTTGAGTTACCTTGTCTGAAAGTAGATTATAAAACCATCATTCCAGAAGGGATCCTGCCCCATAACTGGGCGGAAGAAATGTCACAACAAGACCAAGAATGTTTCAAACAGATAGGCCTTGCTAGGTTTCCCCACTCAGTCTATTATTATTAGATCATTCCCTTTTTGTCCAATCATATTTCTACATGGCTGTACAATCTGGATTAATTAAATATGTTCTACTTTTCTCTTGTTAACTTGTCTTTTGTTATAGGAATACCAGCCATGACCCATAGGATGAAGAAAACAGGTACTACACTCTTTCCACCCCTACACCCTCAAACTCTATTATTCTCCCCCTAGGCCTCCTTCTGATACCTATAATAAGCCATCTTCCTACCGGCCATTTGCACAGTTTATTCTTTCTCTGACTCCCTCTTCCCACCATTCCTCTCATCAGGCCGATTCCTATCAACTCTCAGGTCTCCCTGTAAATGCCATTTCCTACGGGAGGCTTTTCTGACTCACAGGCAAGATTCAGTCTTCATCAAATGCTCTCATGGTACCCTGTGTTTCTCCTTCATAGCCTTTATCGTAACTGTAATGAAATGTAGTTTCTGTAAGTATTTGCTGAATATTAACAATTGTGATGGCAGAGATTTAATCGGGCTCAGAGGAAAATGGCAAATAAATGTTTATTGAAATGAATAAATGAGTGAGTGAATGAATGCAAGAATAGAAGAAATGCAATATGCAAATATCTGGCTACCAAAGTTGTTCTGTCTTGCAGAAAGTCAGTAAAGAGAGAGACGGACATCATTGAAGTACCACAAAAACCCCATACAGATAAAAGTCCCTCGTTTTGTACATGAGCATACCATCTTCAGGTGAGCAAGATTGTTTTGTACCAGCTGCCAATCCAGGCTGCAAATTGCATGAGAAAACTTTATCCATACCCAGGCAAGAGCCCCAGAAATTCTGTAATCATTTGCATTTAATGCAGCCCAGGAGCGTGTTTTTAAAAAGCTCTGTAAATAATTCTAACATGCAGTTAGGTTTGAGAACCACTATAGGTTAAAAAGTATCTTGTCTCAAGTCTGTTTCTGTCAATCCTCAGGAGTCCTTATAGCAAGGAAGTATAATAAGATTTGGGAAAATCTTATTAATGATCATCTTGAAAAATATAAAAGGGTAACTATGTCTTGTGTGTGGCTCTCAATCAAAAACTAAAGCAAAGGTAGTTTTCACATTTGATGTAACAGAAAAAGGTTGTTTCTGAGGAAGAGACAATATGTTTTCTGCTAATAAACTCCAGGGTGGCTTTGTGGCTGTCTTGATTAATCGGTGACGATGAAATAACCAGTGCTCAGGGATACATGAGACAGCAAAGGATTGTAAGTGACAATTTGCTGTTAAAATTCATCAGCCCCTGCAAAGTACCTTGATTAATAAAGTCACTGTGCCTGTCTCCACACTAAGGAGGGGGCCCCTATAGAAGAAAGGGAAAACAAATTTGCAAGGATGGTCTCGCTAAAGAGGTTCAGCACCCGTTTGCATTTAATCTCTCTGCTCTTGCATTAGTCAAGTACCTTCTCCCTCTCAATTGTTCACTAGTGCTGCCATTAATCACAGCCCACTGTAAAGGAAAGTAGGGAGGAGGTAGGGGAGACAGAAGTCTCCTTCTTGGCTTGTAGCTGGGGAGAATGATTGGTAGGCAGGGGACCCAGGAGGGGAACTGCTGGGTTATGACCAACCACAGGAACTTAAAATAGGGTTTGCAGAATTGAGCCTCAGCAGGCCACAGCTGGACGCTCTTCTGCCTGCCACAGCCACTATGAAGGTTCTTGGTGCAACATCGCCATCTACAGCTAACTGTAAGAACTGCTTTGAGGGAGTTGCTGAGCTCGGGAAACTGCCCTGAAATGAGATCAAGGTAACCCCAGAGGTTTTGCACTAGCCAGGGAAGTAGGACAACATTGGTTTTCGTGGCACAGGGCTACCTTCCTTGGTGTTTGGACCTACAGCTTGTTATCCTGCATGATGTTAAGCTAGTGCCAACGTAAGAATATCACGAATAATGGATTCCCATGAGATTTCATGAATGACCCATTTGTCCCTAGAGAAAACAAAACAAAACAAAAACAACAGCTTACCCAAGCTTAGAAGTCTACCCAGTCAGAGAAGTCTGCTGCACTGCATTAGACCTTTCTTTGAAAACGGTCTTTAAGGGTTTCTAAGAGCAGTTTTTTCTAAAATCAGTGATAAAATATTTCTAAACTCAATATAAGGAAAACTGTTTTAATGTCATATGGTTATATTTTTCAAGCACATTTTCCAAGTTGCTTTCTGATACATGAAGAATGAGAACCCAGTATTTGTACAACTCAAAACTCTAATATGTCAGAAATGGAAGGGTCTGTTGGGAGTGTCTATACTTCAATGTTTCTGCAGTGCCCTAGGAGTTTACAAATATGATCTCATTTAATACACACAAAAACCTGTGTATGTGCTGGTATCCCCATTGCATAGATGAGACTAATTCAGAGGAGAGGCCTTAAAGAATATCTAAGCAGATCTCTCAAGGTCCTACAGCCACAAAGTAGCCTCAACCTTTTGTTCTCCCAGTGAACATAACTAACTGCCCTCCCAGTCTCCATGAACCCTACCATTCCTCTATGAGGACAATGGGTTCAGTTCACCAGTAGAGGATATCATCTCAGCTCTGCTAATGTGAGCTGTGTGACTTTGAACAGGTCGCTTGATCTCTCTGAGACTTCTTTTTTTTCATCTGTACATTGACGAGATTGGATGAAAGAAAACAGTTTTGGGATGCCTGAATATAGATTGAAAACAAAGAAATACATTGAAGCTGGAGGTCTCTTAGGTCACAAATTGTAAGTGGCTCAGTTGCTGAATGAAATTCAAGTCAACTGGACTATTCTACTCTTGATGACAGTACGAGGCTGGTCATTAATGGACTTAGCCCCTCACCTGATTCATTTCTCTGCTTTGCTATGGGCAGGAGTCCAATAATTGACAGATTGAAGTGTTTTTACACCCTTGCCTTTAACATGCAGTAGAGGAGAGAGCTTGGGTTTTGAATTTGATATAGTAAAGAGCCTGTCTGCCTTTCTACCTCACTGGCATTCAAAGAATACTACCCCACATGAGTGCACATTGTCAACACATAGCCCATTCCTAAGAAGGTTATGCATCAGGACCAGGATACGAGGAACAACTACTCCCTGGAAACGTTTAAGCAAAGAAAAAAAGTATATTCCAGGAATATTAAATACGATTTTTTTACAGTCTTTTAATAAAGCCACCTTGGAATAGGACATGGTTGACAGCATTTCCCCAGACGGGGTGTTAAATATAGCATTCAAACCAGAAAATTACTCATTGATTTGCCCTGTGAAAAGATAAATGTCTATTCAACTGTGTTCTATCCCAGTGCAGACCTTATTGTTTTTTAGCAAAACAGTCTGAGTGAGTCTCCCTAATGAGGCAACACAGCATGAAAACGCTGCAAGCACATGGCACAGGACAGGACGAGAGCCCTTGCCAACCAAATGCAATACCCCAGAAGGCTGCCCACAGCTCCCGGAAGCAGGGTATGCATGCCAGCTCAACAAGGTGGCCCCACTACTCTAGACAACAAAAGAACAACAGCAGATACACTACCCTGGAGCAAATACACATGATAAATGAAAACTTGGTCTCAGGAGGGAGCAGAGATAAAAGCTTACAATTCACTGCCCCAAGAGCCTCTGAAATCACTACTGTTTTGGCTTTGGCTTAAAGACAGTTTTCATAATGACAGGTGACTGCCATCTGTAAGACCCTGCCAGACCGCATATGCCTAATAATGCTCTCTCATTTTATCCAGTGTTTTACAGCTCACATAGGGATACTGTGTGTCCAAGCTCATTTGATTCTCTTAACAACCCTATTAAACAGGTGGTAGAGGTACCCACTGCCCTGGCTGCATTTTTTTTTTCAGAGAGATGCTGTCAAGTATTATTATATCTTACATCTATTTATTCACTCAACAAGCATATATGGAGAGCCCACTCTGTTCTAGGCACTGGGAGGAGGTGGAGAAGCACAGAGAAGTAAGGGAGAAAGCAGAGGTGGGTCTAATACGGTCTACATGACAATGCTTTCAAGGAACTCCTAAATCTCAGGGGGATGCAGAGGGACTAACAGATAACTCTAACTCAGTATGGACAGAGCAGAGAAGGGGGGCGTTTCACAATTCCTAGGGGAATTGCAGAGGAGTGGTGACTTGACTTATAGGAGTTTCCTGAATTGCAAGAGGACTTATTTAACTTTACAATTCATTCTGATTCTTAAAAAAAAAATCGAAGAGTGATGCAATGATATGCACTTTGGGGTCATAGATCAGCTGACAACATTATGAGATATTTTATTATTGATTATTTTCCTGCGACTAACAACAAAACCACTAGGTAAGACAAGCAAGCTCTTTGCCTTTCTTTTACTGAAGCTCACAACAGTTGAATAGCTTGTTCCAGGTAACAGATCAGGAATTCGAATTTACTAGGAAATTGCTCCATACTGAGTTCTAATCTGCATTCTACTCCAGTGCCTCTCAAATTTAATGACTATACAAACCTCTTAGGGATTTTGCTAAATTACAGATTCGGGTTCAGAAAGCCCAAAGTGGGGGCTGGAATTCAGCATTTCTAACAAGCAGCCAAGTGATACAAATGCCGTTGGTGCATTTGTATCACTTGGCTCACTTTGACTAGCAAGGGTCCAGAGTGATGCCCTGGCCCTAAAAGTGGCTATTATCAAAAAGGGAGTAAAAGTCCGAGTACATGAATTCTAGCAATGGTGAATAGGTTTTGCAGAAATTAGGACAGAAAAAGGAGAAAATTAGGGGAAAACAATCTTGAAATTTAAGGACAGGCCAAAGGTTTTGAAGACCTAATACACCTGAAGGCCCTTAGACAAGGTCCAGCACTGTGGTGCCAAACCTGGAGTTCTCAAATCTCCAAGGTTCCAAGAAATCATCAGTGAGGATCCTTGAACTATTTTATATATTCAAAAAATAGCTATTTGAAATTGAATATTTACATAAACAAGGCCTCTTTTGTTAATGAAAACAAGGACTCATTAACCAGATTTACTACTGCTTTGTCTTTCTATTGTAGGCCTAATACTTATTATTATTATATATATACACATCTTTGATTAATTAAAAATAAGAAAACAAGAAAATAAGAAAACAAATTAGGTATTAATAAATTGCAGTTCAAGTAATCGAGGGAGACTAAAAGAAGGAATCCTTGGTAGGAAAAATGTTGAGAAATAATTCAAACCCCCTATTTTATGAGTTTTTAAAATTTTATTGTTTTGTCTTTGGGCTTTTTGTTGTTGCTGCATTGGTTTTGCATTAGCTTGTACCCATAAATATTAAGTAACTAAGCAAAGGTTTAAAAGTGAGATAATAGAAGAACCAGAAACAGATCCCAAATGTTCTAACTCGAAGCGATTAATAGTTGCCATTTACAAACAACCTATTATGTGCCAAGCACCTGCATTACTTATCACATTAAATCATCAAAAAAAAAAACTAAAAAGAAAGTAATTTTGTATTTATTTTACAGACCAAGAATCTGAGCCCCAGAAACATGCAGTAACCTGCCCAGAAAAATACTCAGCAAGTAAAATGCTTATTCAGCAATGGATCTAAAGTCTGAGCCCCAAAGCCTATCCTTGTAATCAAAATCCAAGTTTTAATTCTCTCAAGTTGCTGTTAGATTCCAGGATCCTCATATTGTGTATTTGACCACTGAGAAGAAATTGCTGGTTTATTTATTTCATCTAGACTCTTTCCAAAAATGCCTCTAGACTAGAGAAAATGTAATTAAACAGCCCCAATATTCCCCTCAGCAGCCTACCAGCCTTTTGCCATTTCTCTTAAAGACTCTGAAACTTGCACTCCCTGAGACACACAGAGGAGAGGCATTAATCTTGGAATGGATGAATGCAAGCCAGATCCTCTCCCTTTTGCCCTAAGAGTGCAGCAGAACAAACACAATTTTAGGAATCCAGTAAATTCAGATGTAAATCCAACTCCCCATGTACTGACTTGTGATCATTGACCATTCACTGACACCTCTGAATCATTTTTATTATCTGATAAAAGAAAGACAATACTGCATTTTTCATTGGATGGTGGTGAGGATTACATAAACTTAAGTGAGTAAGGCCCCTAGCACAGGTCAAGTACCAGAAAAATACGTCAGTAGCCCCTATCAGATCGGGTGATTACTACCCTGGAAAACATAATTTGCTTTTGGCTTGTCTCAGCCAAATCATGGGCTTCAGACAGAAGTCATCCTCCTCGTTCTAAATAATTCAAAATGAAAAGCCTGAGCGTTTGTTTCCCTGACCTTATTTCAAGGATATTCTGAAATGCTGAAGCTGGGTGACCATACATAAATGAAAGCATTCATTCTGAAAATAAATGTGACTTTGCAAAGACCACTAATGTGGTCAGAGCAGAACTGGTGTGGCCAACTAAAGGGTGACCTCCATTTCTCAGAAAGTATCAGAGTGGATTATCCTAATTTGGACTTCATCTTTCATCTCTTTTCAGGAGAGTGAGAAGGAGAGTCTGGTGAAGTCATTCCTTTTTGCCCAATCATGTTTTGCTTACCTCACTCACTCCAGGGAAAACAAACAAACAAATAAAAACATCAGTTTTCTTAGCCAGATCACACTTCAAATAAAGAAAGTATGAAGAAGGGAACAGTACTTATAGTTCCAAATTGGTCATACCATGTCATCGTGGAGGTGTAATGACCTCCATAGAATACATCTATTGGTGTAATCTAATGCAAAAAACGAATGGGTGAAAAACTAATATTTGTAAATGAGTGATAAAATGGTAGACAGTGAAACAAAGGAATGTAACCCTTTCTTTAATAACAGAGAACAATGGTTTTGTTCAGGAAACTAAGAAAGAAAAGAAAAGCAGATCTGGGGGAGGGAAGAAACACAACTTTAATTTTTAAAGACTCGGTGCTCAGTGAAACCAATTGATGCTTTTGATTCCTTTACTCTATTCAGATTCTCCTTGCACAGCCAACATCAGACCTCCCATACTCAAACAGACTGACAAATACTGATTTTTAACTCCACCAGTGAGGGGCTTCTTATTCTGCTCCCAGAGAACACATGTGTGAAATGAGTTTTGCAAGTTGACTCAAGTCAGTCCCAGCTGGGTCCTTTCCCCTGCTGAAAAGGCAGGCCCAAAGAGGCATCCTGGCTTCCAGCGAAAAGTGATCTGCCATCCAGCGCAGCTATGGCTCTCTGGGAAGCCAGTGCATTTTCTAAGACTTAGGTTGCTCTGCAGAGTCAGAAAAAGACCTAAAGAACCAGGCCTGAGTAGAAAGATATTTGAATTTGAAGAGGATGAACCATGGGGAAATTAAGATTTTCTTCTCAATGTTGTGAAGAACTGGCAAGTCCACCGTGACTTGACTTGGCTCACTTCTCAGCCTCATGACAACACTTATACTTGGAGCTCTAGCCAAATCAATTACTCACAGGTCTTGAACAAGCCATGATCTCCCTCATCCTCCAGGCTTGCTTAAAGATGGCATCCTCAAAATACATTTCCTTACAGCAGCATTTGCTTATCCCATTGTATCATAAATACCTGTTAACTTACTAGCATTCTCCATTATTTAGCGAGTTATTTGAATGTGATGTACTATAACTTTTCCACTCTTGTGCCTTTAGAATCTAATAATAGGCATACATTAATGTTTCTGATGGATAATAAGTGCATAAATAAAGGAATGAAAAAAGGCAAAAGACCATTTCCAGCCTTGTCTATCATTAGTAAGCTATTGTAAACATATAAATGTAAGCTATACCATTTAATGAGTTTAAACTTTGTGTTAGTAACAAGCTAAGTGCTTTATACAGTATGCCTTTTCATCTTCACACTACCATTGTGAGAAAGTAAGAATTATTATCCCCATTTAAGCAGAAAAAATAATAATTGGAGGCTCAGGAAATTAAGAAAATTATACTTATAAGTCTACACATTTAGAAAGTAACAGAATCGAGATTTGCAACACGATGTGCTGTCTCCCTGTGATGCTCAAGATTTGAACAAATCTTGGGAATTCTCAGGTACTGGGTGTTTAGATTACTCTATTGGAGCCATTCATTATACCATTCATTATATTAATAGTGAATACTCACCTATTTTTGCATCCATTCTGTAAATATTTATTTATAATCTACTTTCAACCAGACTCTGTACTAGGCTTTGGGGGATACAAAAAATGAATAACACTCCTTATTTTCAAACTGCTTGCAGTTTAACTGGAAAGATGATAACCCAGAGAGCTGCAATATAAGTTAAGCCCCTCAAGATCTATGTGATGTAATAGAAATTTAAAGAGAAAATTATCACCAATATAGCCTAAAACAGCCATTTAGTCTCTTTTCATCCATCAAATAGCAATCCACTCCCTCCAGCAGCAGCAAGAAGTACCCCATCTATTATTTTATCACTTAAAAATGTATTTTGATCATGGTACTACCTGCTCAAAAACAATCAGTGACTACTCATTGTCAAGCAAAAAACTCTAAACTTCTTATTAACATGCTATCACTTGTTCCCACGTGCGTTTCCAGAGTTATCCTCTATATTGCTTCTGAAAGTCCTCACTGATTGTCCACACCATTTTCTAGATATATCCTCTGCATCTTTGTTCCAGCTACTTTCACTGGGGTTAGATTTATTCTTTCTATTTAGGCTTTCCTGCTAACTATAGTCTTTCTTTTCCTGGACACTTCTAAAACATTTTGCTTCTTATAGGTATCTCCTTTCTTGTACAGCTTTGTCAGAAAATATTGAATTATCCTTGGTTGGAATTAACCATTTATATGTCAGACTTCTGCTCTAATCTATGAACATCTTAATAGCCACAGTTTCTTGTTTATCTGTATATCCTCTGTGTTTAACATAATGGCATATGCTGCATACCCAGTAAATGACTGCAAAAATGAGCAGACTGAGCAGTCTTGTGTAACATTCACTTGTTCAAACATCCTATCTCCCATTTCATTTGTAAGATTTGTGAAGGCTGAGACTATATATATTTGTGTCTTTTATGTTCACCTCACCATAGTTTCCAGAACATCCTTGTATATAGTAAGTACCAAGTAAATATTTGTTAATGAGTGAAAAAATAATTCTCATGGTAGGAGTGCTTTTGTGGATTGTATTCATTGGGGCACTTCTTGTCCCTAGAAACAATAGATGCTCAACAAGTGTTTGTTAATTAAATGGATAGCTATTCCCAAATACTTAGCCAGGAAATATAATGGACATACTGTTTTGCCCCTTCTGCCCTGCTTTTCTGACAGTTTCTCCACTTCCCATGTGGTAACTACAGAAGTAGCCAATTTCTAAAATGTGTGACTTTTTCCCAGGTGGAGTTGATGGGTCCTTAAACCAGAGGAGACACCATAATCAAACTGCTAATCATAGTAGCTCTTCCTTAAAATTTTTGGACTTGGGACACTAGAATAAATTAGGCTAGAGCTGTTAGATAAAGAAATTAAATATAGAGGGAGTCATGATGATCCCAAAGTCTTCAAATACAATTGTTCCTTAGGTTCAGTTCTTTCCTCAGAGCCTGTTCTTTCTATGATGTAGTTGTGCTGTATGACATTTGGGCAAGCATCCAATGCATCTCTTTTTTTTAAACTTATTCAAGATAGATTTTTGTCACTTGCTTCCAAAACAACCTTAATGATTGCAGAGACCATTCTGATAAAAGATTCAGGTGATGATAGAGCCTGGAAAAAACAAGAATAAGTAGCACTAAATTCCACAAGAGAGCTATAGATATTTATTTAGGAATTTTCCTTTTTTTTTTTTTTTTTTTTTTGAGACAGAGTCTCTCTCTGTCGCCCAGGGTGGGGTGCAGTGGCGCGGTCTCAGTTCTCTGCAAGCTCCGCATCCTGGGTTCGCACCAAAGGCAAGCTATAAAGACTCAAACAATAAGGAAATCCATTGACAGGCTGTCTGACCAAATAAGAAACTACATGCCAGTTTCATAAGAAATCACTAGAAAATAAGGAAAGGAGAGCAGGCCAGTCATACCAATGGTATTCAAATGAGCAATAACAAGTAGGTCAACTGGATTTAAAGTGGAATAGAATAGGGCAGAGATCAACACTAGGAACTTAGATAAGAGCACAAAGAAATAATTTCCTTCCTTCCTTCCTTTCTTCCTTCCTTCCTTCCTTCATTCCCTCCCTCCCTCCCTCCCTCTTCTTCCTTTCTCCTATCCTTCAGTGTGTGTGTGTGTGTGTGTGTGTATATATATAATATATATATGCATATATATGTATGTGTATAATCTATCATGATAAATGTATATAAAATCTATCATATCCCAGGCATACTAATGCTAAAGTTATGAAGAATAAAGACTGTCTCCTTTGCACAGGAATCTTCCTAATGTTAGAGAGATGACAGTCTGTTGTGAGAGGTAGAGTACATTGTGATAGGTACTAGGTACTATGGCTCAAAATTGCATTATGAGAAGATAGGTTAGTGGAACCAAGCCAGTGAGGAGGTTCTGTAGAATGTTTCACTGACAATGTAATGCTTGAGAAGTCCTCAAAGATGAGTAGCATTGTTATAGGATTTATGCAATAAATTAAAGGATGATTTAATATTAGAAAATTTATCAGTGAAATCCACCAATTAATAACCTCATGGAAAAGTCACAGTTTTGTATTAATAGACATAGAAATGGCATTATTAATGTCCAATACCTATCTATGCATGGTAAGAATTTCAAGAAAAGTAGTAACAGAAGGGAACTTCCTCAACCTGATAAAGGGTGTATACCCAAACCCACAAGCCACTAATCTTTATAAGTAGACATATTACGTACATTCTTTTCAAGATCAGAAATCAATTAGGGATGCTTGACCAGGCACTTCTGTTCATCACAGTGTGTCCTGGAAACAGTAGTAGGGAAATGGGCTCATTATATGCAGCAAAATAAAGCTAAAAAAAAAAAAAAAACAAAGATGAGTAGTATTTACTTGTGCTGAGGAGAGCGCTGCAGGTAGGGGAGGGCATTATAAGAAGAGGTAACAGTGTCTACAAAGTCATGGCGACTGGATAGAGTGCAACGTATGCAGAAGAGGTGAAAATTCTCTCAAGCTTATGTTTTAGAGGATAGATAGACAAGTAAATCAATTATTGCAATGTTAAGTCCTTTGACAGAAACAAGCATATGTTGCTGTTGAAGACAGAGAAAGGAAAACCTCCTTAGCCTGCTGAGGTGGTTGAGGTTATGGAGGACTTCCAGGGGTCAGGGGAGGTGACATACAAGTGACTCTTCAAATGATAAATAGGAGATATTAAAGTAAAGATAGTAAGGAAGGATTTTTCTGCAGAATGGACAGTATCTGAACAGATATTAGCAAGCCTGATTCATTTACTAACCAGAGTGAACAGTACTTTCTCTCTGCTCCAAAAGCAACAGGGAGGAGAAAAGTCTAATTTTATTTGTGGCAGTAATATTGTCTTCCTAGGAAAGCTATAGTCTAAAGACAAGATAGCTGATTAATTACAGAAGCCAGAATACCAGAGTAAATGAGGTAAACAGGCAACATGAAAGGGAGCAAATAGGAAATGACAATTGCCCATCATGTTAAGAAGCAATGGGGAGAACAGGGAGTGGCGAAGACCATGATAATGTGGAGAGTGCAGGCCTGTCCTGATATGAAGCATTCTTTAATTCCAAACAACTGTCATGTACAGACATGACCTCAAAGTTTCTAGACATTTATTATGGCCTAGCAGATTCAGATTATGGTGTGTGTGCACACGTACATGAGTGTGTGTATGTGGGTGTGTAAAAAAATTCCTAATACCAATTTACCAACTTAACACTCTATGGGATGACACTGTGAATTAAACCAAACATTTCTGCAAGTCCAAGATATGCCAGAATCCTGTAACTTGTGGTTTTTGAATTAGAACTTGGACGGCAGACATGTTAAACATGTACTTCACTAATCTGCCATGTATTTTGATTTAAACTTCATAATAAATTAGTATATGATATAATAATTTTTATTCTTTTTTTCTAAAGGAAAAGCCATAAAATGTATCTTTTCCCATTTATTTGTGTCCTTAGATCTGGCCTGGACTGAGAATTGTATCAGAATTGAACGTTAGTATCAAGTAGCATGTGGTATAACAATTTTCTATATTTTCTTAGAAAAGCTTAAAAGTTGATTTTTCCCATTCCCTTAGGTCCTGAGATCTGAGCTGGGTATTACATTAGCTACTCAAGAAATGATGGAGTCATTTAGTGTCGTCAGCCAGCAGTTAGTGCCATTATGTCTAATTACAGATCAGAGGAAATATGTAGCTGAAGAAAGTAGAGAAGAGAATGAGACAAGAGAAGAATCCTTGTTAGTGCCTTCTTCCTGCTTCATCTTTCTACATACACTCACCACTCATGCTCCCTGCTCTATCATGCACTTATTACCCACTAAATGCTATTTATATAGCAAGGAATCTTTGTCACCACCATCGGCCTCCACGGAACACATAAATATTTCATGTTATTGTGTTAAAAATAGAGATTAAGTAGAACAAATGTTATAGCTATAAAAACTGAGGCTTAGAGAGATTAATGATACCTAGCACTTATACAATGCTTTTAGTCCTCAAGTGCCTTTATATATCTTAACTTATGTGACGCATATAACATTTTGCATAGATGAGGCAGATACTATCATCCTTATTACAGAGATGAGAAAACTGGTGTTTTAAGCAAGTCACAGCTCCATTGCAAGCTACATTACCTCTGCAGGCCTCAGCTTCAACCTTGAATTAGGAAAAATAATAGAACTTATCTAACAAAGTAACTATTTTGAAATTCATAAGAGATAATTCATGATGGTCTAATTCCTATTTTAATGAATGTAAGACCTCAGAAAAATGAGCTGTTTTGCCTCATTGTTGTTATGGTGATGCGAAGTGAACACTAACTACTACCACAGATCAATCTAGGAATCTCAGTGGCTTAACCCATTTATATAAAGTCCAGTTGGCAAGCTGAACATGGTGAGAGGCATGGAGAGAGGAAAATGGACTTTGTTCTATTGAGGGATCAAGACTCCTCTGTCAATCTCTAGGCTTTTGAGGTTCCTGGAAGGATCCTCTTTACTTGACTTACAGCTGAGGAAGGTGGGAGAGAGAATGAAGAAGAATTTTTATAGTCCAGGCCTCAGAGTGGCGTCATTTCTTCCACCTACATTCCATGAATTAGCACTCAACCACACAGTCAAACTAACTGCAAAGGAGACTGGAGAATGCAGTCTATTTCCTTAGAAAGAGTAGAGAATGGGTTTACATGAACGTAGAGCAATCTATGTCACATTAAGTAACTTTCCCCAGGCCACCCAGCTGATTATTTTGAGAGCTTAAAAGCAAACAATCTGACACTGGGTCCCCAGTTCTCCCCCCTACAATTGCCTAAGGTCTTACTTTAAAACAGAAGCCAGTGGTCCTGATTTTGAATTTCAGGATCTTTTCTCCCACCCTTTGTGGCTGGCAAGATCATGTTGGTGGACTGTGAATGGCAGGGTTCTTTCCATCAATTCGCTGTGCTATATTACAAGTGCTCTGATAGCTAGTACATTCACTAAACTAGAAACCCAACCTTTCTCTTTTCTGATGGCTGAGACAGCGGAATGGCCTTATTCCTGTGACTGCTTTATGCTTCCCCTGGGTGACAGATAGAACTGGCTATTCGTTTCTCTTAGATGAGAGCAATTTAGAGCAACAACTAATTGAATAGGGAGTGTTTATGTGTGTGGGATTTATAGTATGAGGTCACAATGCTGCATCATTTTCCTGCATGCTGAAATTGAAGATAATTGGGCTATTTTTCAAAGCCAATGGACTGTGGTTTTACCAGGAGGCATTGGCCACATCCAGATTCTTCTTTACCTGATCTGAATCCTGGCTTAGCTATTTCCTTCACCCTTGAATAATGTCAGGTTCCTCGCCTCTTGGGAGACGGATTTACAGTAATTCTGAGGGAAGTCTTTCTGGGATCCTCAGTGTAAACTCAAAGCATTGGCATGTCTGTGGTCCAGGCCAGAACATGTCAAGGCACAATCAAAGTGCATCTGGCCTATTGGTACCATGTTGCTATCACTTAATAGGGCCAAACCTGCAAAGCCTGCCTGAGACATACAGCCACTTCTTCCCAGACACAAAGCCTCTGATTCCAGGAATTGCCTCTGAGGAATCTGTCATGCCAGTCCATAAGCCACCTTCTCTTTCAATCTTGGAAACTGAGAAACCACCATCTTGCATGATATATTTGGGTTTCTTTCTAATCTTGAAACTTGTTAAGGAGACTGTAGAGACTAAGCTCTAAAGGCAGACAAAACTGGTTTCATATACTGGTTTTACCTCGTAGTCACTATTTAAACGGGTTGGCTTAAACCTATGAAATTCAATTCCAGCCCACCGCCTATTTTTGAAAATAAAAGTTTATTGGAACCCAGACACATTCACTTGCCTCTGTATTTTCTACCGCACAAGCATCAAGATGGATGTTATCATTCTGAATTTACTGAAAAGAAACCGAGAGACAAAACAACCATTCAAGTTTATGCAACCAGTTATAGATATAGTTAAAATCTTAGGACCATTTGACTTTCTTCTCTCAGTTTGTCTAATCTTTACAAAGGTGGTGATGTCGGGAACTATGAAAGGACTGAATTTTAACTGTATCAAAGGAGTACTACTATTGAACAGTTGCCAAGAGGAGAGAAGACACAAACTGTACAAACATATTTTCAGTAGCAACTAAAAATATTTTAAAATATTTTCTATAGGACTTTTATATCTCTCCCATGTCTCGGTGAAAGCCTGGTGGAAAAGCATTGGATCTGAAGTGAAAAGTCCTAGGCTCTAGTCTTGAACAAGCCATTTGCCTTCTCTCAACTTTTCTACTTGCAAATGCGAAACTTGAATGGTCTTTCCAGTCACTTGATCTGAATGTTTACGATGCTTCCCAGAGAGCAAGTTTTAGTCACTGGGGACCAATATTTAGTCCAAATATTCAGTACCTAACTGTGAGCATGGCCCAGAGTACCTGCCACTGGGAAGGGAACACACACGCACACACACAGACACACACACACACATCCCTTTTCTTTTCTGAGTGTTTGATTTAAAAAATTTAAATTAAAAGAACTTAGTTGGAGAAAAATAAGCTTCATTAAAGTGCAGAGCTGGGTAGAAATCAAGGGAGAAAATAGAAACAAACAAGATTAAGTTTTCTGACATTGACTGGGCATAAAATATACATTAAAAGATAGTAAAAATGAAAGTATACCAACTGATAAAAGCAAAGAAAAGCTTAATCAAAATATGTGCTTGTGAGTACACATACACATACATACACATCCTCTATGAGCAAGTGGCTGGAGAAAAAAATAACAATTCCAGGTTATTTCTGAATCCAAGCATCTACTTAAAGAAGGGAAGTAAAGAAGATGGGCACATCTAACATTTACCAAGCAACTGCCTTGTGCCAGACAGGGGACATAGCCTACTTCCATGACAGAATTTGCTATAGCAGCCTACTCCATCTAATCTTGGCACCTACATGAAAACAGCATGATTATTTCTGCTTTATAGAAGCAGACATTGCACACAGAGGTGAACTATTTTGTCCAAGACCACACTATTAGTTAGTTGTGAAACCCAGCATTAAATCCACATCCAGTTTTAGTTCTTTCCTCTAATACTTTTCAATTACAAAGCAATCCCAGCCTTTCATCATATTATTCTATCATAATTTTTAAATAGCAAGAACAAGGAGGGCAGATATTAGTTTCTCATTTTTTTATAAAGGAAGAAGCTCACGCTTAGGAAAATTAAGCAACCTGTGAAACCCTGTCTCTACTAAAAATACAAAAAATTAGCCAGGCATGGTGGCGGGCGCCTGTAGTCCCAGCTACTTGGGAGGCTGAGGCAGGAGAATGGCGTGAGCCCGGGAGGCGGAGCTTGCAGTGAGCCAAGATCGCGCCACTGCACTCCAGCCTGGGTGACAGGGCGAGACTCCGTCTCAAATAAATAAATAAGAAAAATTAAGCAACCTGTCTAAACCCACATGCCAAGTAAAAGGGTGGTGTGAATTCCAAAATTCCGACTCATAAATCAGTTCCTTGGTTACCATTTTATGATGAAACTCTTGACTCTTAATGTCAGCCTTTTACTGTTGAGAGGCATATGTCACATGGGTCAGAGAATGAGTTCTAGGGTTGCATGAATCCATGTTCAAATCTGGGCTGCAACATTTACTGGCTATTTGGGAAAACTGATTAATTATTTCTTCCCTACATTAATTTGTCACATTTACTTCAAAGAATTTTCATGAGAATTAAGTAATTTAATGTGACCGACCAGCAATGTAGGCTCAGCAAAAGGTTGGTGGCTGTCTTAGGCGGAGGTCTTCAGAAGCAAATCATGAAAACAAAGGTGTGTGCTCCCAGGAGAGAGCCAGAAGGGAGTGGGGAAGTGGGACAGGGAAGGAGAAGGAGCCAAGCAAAGATGCACTTACAGGAAAAGTTCCAGGTTCAGCCTGATCCTTCAGGAGAAAACTAAAGTATAAATTGCACCTCAGTTTGCCATCCCTCCAAATCTCCCAACACCCCCTTAAGTCGAGGAAGGGAAATGAGCTTTCATACTTATGCATTATTCAGTCATTCAATAAAAAACATAGCAGATGTAGTAGGAAAAAAGGAGCTTCAAAAATCATAGGACTTTCTATTCTAGTCCTATACATCTACAGGCAAAGCAGCAGGAGTAATCTAAGGGCAGAGTAACAGGAACCAGGTAGGAGGTAGGAGGGGAGTGGGAATGGGACGTATATGAACAAATAGAAGAAGATTCTAGGGGATTTGGGTGGGATAGGCAGGGTCTGTTGCAGTGGAATTATTTTCTTATTATTACCTTTTATTAGGATGGGAATGGCATCTTTCTTTCATGAGCCTCATTTCCAGGAATATTGGGGAAAACCCATATATTCTCCTTGAGTCCAAGGTAAACTTCAGGCCAAGGCCAGAAAAAGGATAGCAATTCAGAGGAAGATATACAACCCAGATCAATGGTCAAAAATGGAACTCCTAAGCTGAAAGCTTTATTAGGCCACCTACAACATCCATTTCAGACACAGTTCTCAGCCAAGGGACCAGATCCCAGCCTCTGTGATTTATTAGAGAGGAAAAGAACTGAAACAATGCAGCAAAAGGCAACTGGAAAAGACAGCTCTTTTATCATAAGAATAAATTCATGTTCCGCAAATCATTTAAACATATTTTTAAGAATTATCCGCCCCTTACCTAATACAATTAAAGCCTTAATTAATTACCTAAGAGGTAAACAAAGAGATGTACTGCTTCACTGAGACTCAAAAGGACATCTAGATTCCCTTCCTGCATTAATACTGCTTAACAAATATCCATGAGTTCAATTGTTTTGATTTTTAGATCCCACAAATAAGTGAGAACATGTGAGGTTTGTCTTTCTGTGCCTGGCTTGTAGACCTTCAGCCCAGGCATAAATTAACATTAGGTATCACTTGGAAAAAAAGTAATCTGCTCTCAAATTTTCTGGTTTTAGCTGTTTGTTTTTTTTTGTTTGTTTGTTTGTTTTTTTGAGATGGAGTCTCACTCTGTCACCCAGGCTGGAGTACAATGGCCTGGTCTCAGCTCACTGCAACCTCTGCCTCCCAGGTTCAAGCAATTCTCCCGCCTCAGCTTCCTGAATAGCTGGGACTACAGGCACGTGCCACCACACCCGGCCAATTTTTGTATTTTTAGTAGAGATGCAGTTTCACTATGTTGGCAAGGCTGGTCTTGAACTCCTGACCTCATGATCCACCTGCCTCAGCCTCCCAAAGTGCTGGGATTACAGGCATGAGCTACCGTGCCCAGCCAGCTGGTCTCTTTTAATAATTCTTATAAAAATTATGTTTGCTTCTGCTTTACATTTTTCTTTGAGCAGGACATACTATAACCTAAAGCCATGAGAATAGGATCTATTCTCAAAGAAAACTGTAAAGCAGAAATAAAGCATCTTTTTTTTTCCCCCAAGTCGATAATTCAGAAGTCGGAGTGTATCATGATGAAAACAAATCTGACCCTGGCTTAAGGAAACCAAATTCCATGCGCTTGAATTTGGGTGCTTTATTCATGGCATTAAACTCTCTTGAATATGAAAAGCCTAGATTTATTATAGAATAACTGGTCCTAGGGTAAAAAAGGTAAAAATGAAAGCTATATTGTAAAAGTGTTGTAAAATTGCACTACCATCAGCAGGAGATATAAATTGCCAAAACCCTCCCACAGAAGAGAAGTAATGTTTGTAGTAAGCATAGATCTAGTCATGAACTCCAGATCTGAATAGCTGGGTTATTTCTCACAAGCTCCTCAAAGTCTCTGAGTCTCCATTTCCTTAGGGAAAATGATGTTACTGATTTTATAGTTTAATGTAGGACTGAATGGTATAATTTATGAAAGTTATTCTGGGAATATTTTCCAGTACTGGAAAATAAAATTTCTCAAAAATTAGAAGCCATTGTTAAGGTGCCATTTTCCTTGTTGGGTGATTCAGGGTTATCAAAGACTTGGAAAATTCTGAAAATTCACCACACATATCAGACTGGCACAGTAGTGAAGACGTTGAGTGAGTCTGAAAAGTTACCATCTAGAAAGGACTTATAGTGACAGTGTGACATCGATTGGAAAGGCAATTATGGAGGAACCGTGTTGGGCTGTGTTCTAATCTGCAGATTTGACTGGGGAAGAATCCACATTTAAGATCATTCAGGTTGTTGGAAAAATTAATTTCCCTGTAGCTGAGGGATTTGGGGACATGGATTCTTCTTGTCTGTTGGCTGGAGATTGCCATCAGGTTTTGGAGACTACTCGAAGTTCCTAGAGACCAAAAACAGTTCTTTGCCATGTGGGCTTCACCAATCTGGCCACTTATTTCACCAAGCTTCTAGCTGCAATGTGCAAAGACTGAGTCTTATTAAATGTAACATAATCACAGGAGTGGTTTTAATGGAGATCATCCATTATCCTGGTTAATATATTAATTAGAATTAAGTCACAAATCCTACTTGTACTCAAGAAGGTATAATTATACAAGGATGTGTGTATTAAAATGCCTGACTTGTGACAGTTTTTAAGCTACCCCCTCCCCCTTCCCTTTGTGCCCCACATAGGGTCAAGATGATAAGAAAGCCTGGGAGCCCACCCATTTGACACGAGCAGGGGGTTCAAACCATACATGACCCTGGTCATGCACAGGAATCCTCACCCCAGCTGCACTGCCTAAACAGCACAAAAACTTCAAGATAACCTCTTTTTCCTATTTTCAAGCCACTTTAGACCTTCTCAGGGAGCCACTCCACTCTTCTCAGAGAGCCTCATTATGTGAGTCATAAAGCTTTGCATGCTTTCTTGGTGTGTGTGTTGTCATCAGTCTCTATACCTGAACCAAATTTTTATGTTGGGCCATTCCATTCTGTGTGGTGACAGTAACTGTGGATATCATGAGGAGGGGACATAAGGGACACCCTAAAATCAGTCTGCTGAAGCATGGATATTGGTAGTATAAGCAGGGATATGAAGCTTTTTAAATGATCACTCTTCAAATGTATCAGTCAAATATCTCAAGTAGTGAGTGATGTGAGCTGAGTAGTAGATCTGAGGGCAAAGGGTTTAACAAGAACTCTTTAATTGCTAGAGGAATTTATCAACTTATTCTCTTGATTCATTCATGCTTTCTTTCTATTTTTTTTGAGACAGAGTTTCACTCTTGTTGCCCAGGCTGGAGTGCAATGGTGCGATCTTGGCTCACTGCAACCTCTGTGTCCCAGGTTCAAGCGATTCTCCTACCTCAGCCTCCTGAGTAGCTGGAATTACAGGCATGTGCCACCAAGCCCAGCTAATTTTTTGTATTTTCAGTAGAGATGGGGTTTCTCCATGTTGGTCAGGCTGGTCTTGAACTCCCAATCTTAGGTGATCCACCCACCTCAGTCTCCTAAAGTGATGGAATTACAGGCATGAACCACCACGCCCAGCCTCATTTGTGCTTCCATCCATCCATTCATTTTGGAAGGATTTATGAAGCACCTGTCATGTACCAGTCCTGTGTTAGATGCTAGGCATACAGTAGTCCATGTGACAGACAATACCCCTACCTTTATATAATTTCCAATTTAGTGGGAAACATAGACAAGTAAACAGACAATTACAGCACTAAGGGTTAAGAGCTAAAATGGGTAAAACTTGCAAAGTGATGGGAACGCTGAGGAGAAATATTCATTCCACTCAAGTGTGGTGACCTGAAATGAGGACTGAAGGATAACCAGGAATGAAACCAACAAAATGTGTGAGCATAAATATGGAAGACATTCCCTGGAAGGACAGTGGGACAGGAAGAATGGAATGGCCCGGAATGATAGAAATCATGTGGAGGCATACTTGGAATATTCAAGGAACTGAATATTTCAATAATTTAGTGTCACGACAGAATGTGTCCATTATTTTAGTCTCTGAAGAACCACTCTAAATTAACACGAGAAGAATAGAACATCCAGTGTTATAACTAAAGTCACTAAACTTTATGTTCCGATAGGTCCTCTTTTATTTTTTCAGTTTTCTAGTGTATAAAAAGCAGAACTAGAAATCCCGCATTGGAAACTTTCTGAAATCATTCTACTAGGGGATCCCAGCATACACCTTATTGGATTAGCTGTGCAACTTTTAAAATGGGTTTAGCCCTGCAACTTTCTGTAGAGTCATCCCAAGCCCATCCCAACATGGACCATGCACACACATGGCAGTCATGGTGAATGCTCTGTATGTTCAGATTTACTGTTGAGTTCTGACACAAGAGCTATATAGTTTTGGGTTTCTGTGAGCCCCAGTTTCTTCATGTGTGAGTAGGCAATAATAATATTTGCAAAGTCATCACTTACGAGAATAGGGGATTTCTTTGATTACATGAACTCTTCCTGTGTTTCATACCCCAGAGCTGTTATTATAACTCACTCCACAGCTGGAAAAAGATAGCAAATATCCTCAGAGATAAAAACCTCTGAGCCAAACTTGCTTAACAATGAAGGCCCCTTCAAGTCTGAGCAGTGCAGTTGCCATTGTTGATTCATTTTCTGTCAGTGCCTGAGAAACTTAGTGACTTCTGTCTATATTTATGCTGGCATTTGGAGTCTCAGGAGGTGTGATTGAGATATAAAAAAAGACAAGAGGAAACAGAACTTTTTAAAAGCCAGAGCAAGCACAGGAGTTTATCTCTTCACTTTGGGTTGACTTTTAAATAACCTTTTGAGGCCTCTTTCTGCATAATATCACTAAGGAGAGGGATCTTGACTAAAATAGAGAAAGAGCAAGAAAGAGAAAGGAAGAATGATGTCAATAATAGCTATAAATGATGTAAAGTATCTTCAGATGTAATTATAATAAATCTTTATTAAATATGTACAAAGCATTACTTTTTATAAATATCATTTAGTTTCTTATTTTACAGAAATAAATCAGTGCAGAATAAAATCTGTCTCAGGAAAAAATTAGAGGCAGGAGATTCAGGGTCCTGACAAAAGTATGTTTCTGTGAGAATCTCATTCTGTGGGTGACACATGTCATCTGAGATTGGCTGAGAACAGGATAGTCCACGGAGGGCTAACAAGGTAAAGCGAATCGATACGCCACCCTCATCTTTCACTCAGACTCCAAACACAGCCAGCAGGAAGACCTTTCTGTCCTCAAACTCAATCACATGAGTCTGCGTGCATGCCAACACAAGCTTCATGTACCTTCCTCCAAAGGGAGGAGCTTAGGCAGAAAAACAGTATAGTTAGCACTTCCAGGGATTCTTCATTTACTGATCAGCTTGAGAAACAGGAACCTTGTGGGTGAGGCAAAGACTCATCAGGTGAAATGAGGCTGCAGTAATGAATACTGTACTTCCATTTCACCTCACAAGCATACAGCTTAGGAAAAAAAATAAAGGTATTACTCCCTTTGTTACATTTTCCCTTATTCCAGATGTTGCTTCTTGCTATTCAATATGGTAATTATATAGCCCACTCTCATTTCCGAAATTACCCTTTTGCACGCCAATGATGAATCTTTCCCAAAGACTGACACTAACAGCCCCCAGAACCAAGCCCATTCTGCCATTTTCTCTAAGAGCAAAACAGTGATTCCTGAAAGATGACCCAATAGGCCCTGAAAATTGGTACAATGCTTTCAGAAAGTAAGAACTGTCAACAGGGTTCATTTATAATAATGGAGTTGTAAAGTCAATCTAATTGTCCAAAAGCAGGGGATCAATTAAATAAAGTATGTTATCATCTTAAAACAAAGCTCCCTACAGCCATTACAATTGAAAAATAAAAGTATATTTGATGGCATGGGGAAATGCTCCCGCACTGTTAAGTTACAAGAACATGATGTGCCAAAATCAGATTCTATTCTTGTAATATATTAATGTGTCATGCCTAGAGTGAACGATCTCTCTCTCCCTCTCCCTTTCTCTCTCTCTCTCTCTGTCAGTTTCTGTGTCAGCCTGTGTGAGTGTGTGTAAACTGTACTTGCTTGCTTCCTTCAGATCCCACTCAAAACTCACTTTCTCTATGAAGCCTTCTCTGAACACTCCACCTAAAATCCCAAGATCTTCAAAACCTTCAATCTCCTTTCCCTTGTTTATTTTTCTCTTTAGCTCTATTAGTCCATTCTCACACTGCTAATAAAGACATACCTGAGACTGGGCAATATATAAAGGAAAAAGATTTAATGGACTCACAGTTCCACAATGCTGGGGAGGCCTCACAATCATGGCAGAAGGTGAGGGAGGAGCAAAGACACGTCTTACATGGTGACAGGCAAGAGAGCTTGTGTAAGGGAACTCCTCCTTATAAAACTGTGTGATCTCATGAGACTTATTCATTATCATGAGAACAGCACAGGAAAGACCCACCCCCATGATTCAATTACTTCTCACTGGGTCCCTCCCTCAACACATGGGAAATATGGGAGCTACAATTCAAGATGTTAAGTTAGCATTTGCAAATTTGTACCATACTAAATGCATCCAGTACGGTCCTAGACAGAAACGGATGGCACACAGAGCCATAGTAATTGAGATGAATTTAATGGAGGGACCCTGTACAAGGGTGTGAGCAGAAGGAAAGGAAACCAGCAAGAAATTGTAAAGCATTACAGGATGAGCAACAATGGAAGAGCCAATATGTTTTCTGGGAATGAAGGGGCAAGAGAAAAGAGCAGTTATTAGAATAAGAAAGTTGTAACTGTAGAGATAGGAGCTGTGGCCTGTACAAAGGAACAAAGCCATGTGAATCCACAGCCCAACAGGAATAAATACCCTGGCCTCTGTCTCTCCACCTTCTCATCTCTCCCAGTGCCTGCCACTTTCTGAACCCAATCAGAAGTCAGAGGGCAAAGGAGCTCATCCTTAGAATTCCTATTGCTAGGACACAGAGCAGTGTGGAAATATCCAAGTGGATAGTATCAAACAACTGCAAAGTTTACTTAATTATTTGTTTATTGACTCACTCTCGCTGAAATGTAATCTTCAAGAGGATAGACATTTTTGCCTATTTGGGCTACTAATATATTTCCAGCACATGGAAAACTGCCTGTGTACAGTAGATGCTCAGTAAATATTTGATAAATGAATAAATGTTGAATGATAGTTATAAAATGTTTGTATTTTGGTAATGAGAATATGGGTAATTTTAATTTTTTTATGACTTTCTATATTTTCCAAGTTTCTTTAATAAACATATACTTTGTTTACAATCAAGAAATATATGTGTGTGTGTGCATGCTTGTGTGTGTGTGCATGTGTGTATGTATATATAGACACACATTTAGTCTGGAGTATGGCATGCAAGCAGGAGAAAGAACCCAATCCTTTCCTTAGAATTCATCAAGTAATAAAATGTGTGCTGTGTTCTCCAGCTCTGGGCCATGCAGAAGCAGTTATGTCTAGGAAGCTCTGATCAATATTACCTTTCCAAACTGTACAAATATCCCAGACCAATTGCCTATATATTATTTATGCTGTGAAGATAACATTTAGGCAATACATAATTAAACAACAACTATCTCTGGAGACACAAGTAGAACATTGATTATGAAATAATCCACCCTTGACAAAAGGAAGGAAAGATGTCCTTCAGGGTTTGACAACTATTTTTTAATAAAACCAGACAAGCAGCTTGGCAGTTGCTTTTCCTGGTAGAGGTCCCCAACCTTTAGCAACGTATACCTCAAATGAATATCATTACTTATATTCTTATCTGCTTACCTCTAAATTATAGTTACCTGTATTACAAGCCTAATTCAATCATTGGTCCCTAAACACAAGGAAGGCAGTGGTTTTTTGCAATGTGTTTCCCAAGGCAGAAGTTATTCTGTCAGCAGCAGAAATGGTGATTGGATGATACGAAATTGTATTTCATTACTTGACTCAAAACATATATAGTAAAATCCTGTTAAACGTGCCTTATTGTGCCCAAGTTTTCCTTGCTCTAGATGCAAGGTGCTCCATCATACAGCTGTCATGATAACACCAAAAGGCTGTGGCAGAGTTATCTTATACATTCACACAATTCTTATAATAGGGGCTGCCAGCATTCTGAATGGAATGTAATAGATATTAATTTGCACACCCAGGTGTGAATATTGTGATTTCCTTTTACCACCTTCCAGCTTGGAAATAAATGAGCTTCTACTGTTTGTTGTTGCTCCTTTCCTCATTCCAGATGTTGTACCTTGCTTTTAGGTATGATAATTACACATCTAAAAGCTGAACACTCTTTGAATGCTATAAAAAAACCCACCAGATTGCATGAAAGTGTTTTTGTCAATAGGGAAAAAAATCTTACGCAGTTCATAAATATCATTAAATCAATGCAAGCTTTAAATTAGCTTTTTTCACCTGTTATACATATGTTTAATCACACATATGTGTATTTATAAACTATATACATAATGTTTTCTCACATCGATCATGAAATTTCATAAAGATCAACTTCTACTCCAAGAAAAGTTCCCAATAAGTTTAATGTCAATAAAAATATAATCGAAGCAGTATATTAAGGGGTGACAAGATATAATAGTTATTTCCAACTGATGTTTCCTGGCACACCATCAATCCACTCAGGGTTTCTAGCTAATGATCTTAGCAAATGTCTCAAGACTTCATGGAGCCCTGGCTCACCAGGCATAGTAGCAAGGATGCCAACATTGGCATCTTTGTTGAAGTAATTAATTGATTAATAAATGGTAACCAAGATTATACAGTCTGATGATGACTGATTTGACACATCAGTTAATCAGGGATGTGTCTTCATGCTGAATTAGCAATGGCAGCCACAAGAAAGGAGAAAAATAAGGGGTAAGAAGAAAGTATAGCAGCCAAGATGATAGCATCAAGGCCTTTGCTAAGAGTTAAAATGGAAACAAAAGGAGGTTTCTTTGGTTTTATTTTGTTGTTGTGGTCTAGTATCATTAAACAACTAATTTTGTCTGGGTTTCAGTTGTACGTTCATCTGACTCCCTTTTATGAAATTAGCAAAAGTCACTAAAAGAACAAAATAGATAGAAAATAAAATGCTGAAGTCAAATACACACATAAACACATGTAACATATGAAAACAAATATACATATACATATATATATGCATACATACATATATATAAAGTTCTCAAAATAGAGAAGGAAGCCTATATTAAACGAAGGATTTGGTCATGATATTACTAATTCATGTCATTTGACTACCATTTTCAAAGTATACACTGTGTTCTAGGAATTCTGCTAAGCCCTGGAGATTTAGCATGAAATATAAATTCCTTTGCCTTTGAGAGCCTCAGAATCTCATGAAGAACAGCAAGTAATCAGGGTTATACTGGAGATAAGTCTGGGATTCTGTAGGTGCCCACAAAAAAGTGGCATGACCTAAACTGTGGACGTAGGGAAGGCCTCTAAGAAGGGGTAGTGTTTAACAGACAGCCACTGAGAGCCAAATGGGAGTTAGGTGTTTCAACAAGGCAGGAGGCAAGCAAAGAAGGCACAATGTACAAGACAAAATAAAATGTACTGAGGAGACTAAAATAATTCTCATGGTTGATGGTGTGGTTTGGAAAAGTCTCTTTCACTTAGCTTTATGCATCAGTGTATAGACAATAGGGCTACAGTTAGATCTGAATCCAAATCCTCAATGCACCACCCAGTAGCTTATCACTTGGGGCAATATTACTTAACCTCCGTCAGCCTTAGCTTCCCTATGTGGAGAAAGACGATAAGAGTTGCACCCTTCTCATACGGCACAGACACATAGTAAATTCAAAAATCAATAAATTCAACCTTGAATATCATTAAGCATTATTACTATTATTGGGAATCATTGATCCATTTTTTTTGTCTATCCCTTAAAGAAAGATAATTTCTATTTGGCCCTCTCTCTATTTATTCCTGGAGAGAAACTGTCCGTGTCTTAGGGAAAGTAAGGCTCACTACAGACTGTCACAGAGACAGTAGAATGGCAAATTGTGCTACATCACCCTGGATCTGAGAATGGTCAAATCATTATACTTGTCTATTGCCCTTTCAGGTAACCCCTGAAGGTGCTCCATCCTATAGCTGTTGGGATGCTGGTCCTGATGTAGCTATTGGCATCTGCAAATGCTGAAGATCCAATAAACCTCCCGGTTCACTTCACTGCCTTAACTTCCACCTCAATGCCATGGCTCAGCAATCTCTAGCTAGATCCACACTTGTTCCATTATGACATGGTGATTTTAAATGCCTTCAAACTACACAGGAGGATAAAAAGCAAAGAAAAAGACTCTTCTTTTTCTAACCACAGATACCACTTTTATTTTTCCAGCTGCTGCAGCGAGAATTGATGATTGAAAGCCAATAAAGCTTCTATTGACTCAGAGTATAAGGGCCTTGATTTATCTCAACACTTGGCAGCAAAATAAAAACAACAAGAATAATACAGGTGTGTCCTTTGCTGTAAATAATATAGATTTACTATCTGCAAATTTCATAACCTTGATGCTGGAAACGTACTGACTCAAGTACGTCAGGCAACACTAGATGCTGGCAATCAATTGTTTACAGCGTTGACATTTTCTAGCATCTATTTTAAGATTGTGAAGTTTTAAACTGCTATTTTTCATTGCCCATACTGACATTTTCACCAAGCTTTCCTTAGCGAAGCTGGTACCTTGGCTTGTTAATCCAAGAAGCGCAGCTAGATCTTCAAAGTTTCTCAGGACTGTGTAAAGAGTAATGTATAAAACCATATCCCCCATCCTCCCTCAAAAAATTACCTGTTGTGAGAAGTCTAACTCTCAGAATTTGGGTCAAAAATTTGCTTCGTAATTTATTCTTGTGAGTGCTGCCAAGTCAGCTTATTGTTTATTTAAAAATAAAAAATAACTGGGCCGTTTTGTGTATGTAAATATAGGTTGAGATTTGGTTGGTTCAAGATGAGGAAATAATTGAAATTATTGCTTTCTTTATTGTCATATTCCAAGGCTTAGGGGCATACAAACTCTATAGTAAAAATGCACTAGACTTTCTGTAAGGTATTTAACAGATACCATCCTATGATTTTATTGTGAATTAAATAGAAAAAAATGAGAGAATTTAGAGTAACATGAAACCAAAGCTGGCCTGAATAGAGGCATCCCAGAAAAGTTCATGTATATCAAATTAGGTGAAGATTATCCTTGAAACAAAGGGACACTGGATTTAGAACTGTCTTGAAAATCAATTAAAACATAAAGAATTTGCTTACAAAATTGTGAATAATAACCTGGAATGAATAACTTAATAAGTTATATGACAAATCAAAATTTAAAATGGCCTTGGTGAAACTGAAATAGTATGCCAGAACTATAAAGGGCAAAGAAAGCAAAACAAAAATTAGTACATATTTATTTATGCACCTTATACAAATGATATATGATTTCATATATTAATAATCTAATAAATCAGGCAACATTATTCTCTTTTTACAGATCAAGAAACAAAGGCCTAAAAAAGCTCAGTTAATTTATCAGTATTGGATAGCTAGTGAATGGCAAAGACAAAATTCAAAGCCAATCATTGTTTTACTATATAATATTTTCCATATATATTAAAATAAGCATAAAATCCTGAATAGAGGTTCAAAAACTAAGACAGTTATGGAATATATTTAAAATATATTTGTTTTGGAAAAAAAGATTAAGGATTATTTGAACTTCAAAATAAGTAACAAATATAGTGTATCACTATTGCCAAAATAGTAATCATAGATGAAATAATATGAATTCATATGGTCACAAGAAGTAAAGTGCTAATCCCATTTTACCTTGAGCTGGTCATACTAATCTGCAGTATTTAATTCTGTTTTAAGCAATGCATTTTAAGGAGATTTATAACCATGAGCATGTCTTTAGAAGCAGAAAAACAGGGTGATCTGAAAACCATGGCATTTATTATTATACTTATCACTATTATCATTATTGTTGCCATCAACCTTATTACTGTATTTTCAAATTCTAGCATTTATTTAGTGCTTATTATATACTGGCTACCAGTCTGAACACTTTGCACATGTTACTTCATCTGATTCAAGCACCAGTTTACCCTCCCTTGTATCCTATTCTCACATTTTTACTCCAGCTCTTACCATAACAAACAGCTGCATGCAGGTACAACCTCTTGATAGTACCTCATCTCAGGCTCATCATGCAACACAAATCTCCTCTAATATTTCGATGTGAGATGCTGAGGCAACTAAGAAATGGGAAGGAGTTAATAGCCTATGTCCAGTGAGAGGTGGGAGTTAGAGGATAAACACTACCCTCTTCCTTGAAGCAGGAAATCCTGGGGGGCACTTAGCAGGATCTCTATTGGATCAACTCCCAGCTGCCTTTAGTAGGTATGGGAACAAGAATTTACCTTGAACTAGCATTTCCTCTTTCCTTGTTTTGCTCTTCACAGTCCAAATTCTCGTGGTCACTTCTGAAAATAATCCACCTGCACATACACCCTTGTCTCAGGTTCTGTTTCTAGGGTAAATCTGGACTAAGACACCACCTCATCTTCATGACAACTTTATAAGGTATGTATTAACATTTCTACTGTATAGGTGAGAAATGTAAAATTAGGCAAGGTTAAGTGGCTTGTCCAAGGTAACTTATGTTACAGAGAACAGATAGTGGTTTTGAATTCTCATTTGTCTTCAAAAGCCATGTTCTTAGTCACCACCATAAAGGTTTCCCTTGAGGCCCAATTAATGAAGCTGGTCATGTCTAGAAGAGAAGACTAATTAAAGGCAGCCTTTCAAAAAACTGAACGGTTTTCATGTGGAATAATAATAAACATTCTAATATGATTCAGGGCCATGGAAAAATCTAAGAAGCTATCAAATGTCTTCCCATTGATGGGTCCAAGGTAATTTCAAAGCATTTTTTAAGTCCTAAAATAGGTAAGTTATATAGATATAGGAAGAATCTTGGAAGTTGTGTTTAACAATTCAGTCAAACCACATCTAGTTGCTTTGTCTAGTGGTCCAGAAAGGTTCATATGATGGTCCTTTGATGAGTGAACTTGACAGGTTACAACCCCCATTTATTCCATCTAACACTAACATAGGTGTCCTGCAAAGATACTTGGTAAGTATGACTAAAGTCCATAATCGATTGGCTTTCAGTGAGGGATATTATTCTGGATAGTCCTCATTTAATCAGTTGAAAGGCCTTATGAACAGAGCTTAAGATTCCCTGATGAAGCAATCCCAGCTATGGACAGCAGCTTCAGCCTGTACTGAAAGTTCCAGCTTGCCCTTTCTGGCTGCCTGCCCTATGATTTCTGACTTGCCTAGCCAGCCGCCACAATCACATGAGCCAATTCCTTGCAATAAATCTTTAAATTTATACATCCTGTTGGTTCTCTTTCTCTGGGTTGAACCCTGACTGATGCACTTAGATATTGGCAATCTCATGTGGTTCCATCCGATGGAAGGTCATTTGGCAAAGGAAATATCACACATGAGAAAAAACGTAAAGTTTACTGAAAACAAGAAAATGATTTTAAATTTAGTATTAGAGGCTGCGTTGTAATTCAATATTAACTTTTCTGTATTTCATGCTCTTATCATTTTGTACTTTCTTGTATTTGTTATTTTAATATAAATATCTGAATATATATATAATTAATATGATCCATAATTAAAACATTATTTTATTGATTAATTACAACTTAGTGAGGCTTAAAATATTTCCCTATTTTCTAGTCAATTATGAAAAATGGGACAAAGGAGGCAAACATTATCATAAAAATGTTAAGAAAAAGTTCCTAAAATATCAGAATTGTTGAGAACTTCGAAGAGTAGAAGAGTATTTTGATGAGAGGGATAATGGACATGTGTGTTGGCCTTTTTTTTTTTTTTTTTTTCAGACAGGGTCTCTCTCTGCCACCCACGCTGGAGTGCAGTGGTGAGATCATGGCTCACTGCAGCCTCAGTCTCCTAGGCTCAAGCATTCCTTCAGCCTCAGCCTCTGGAGGAGCTGGGACCACAGGTGTGTGTCATCATGCCCTGCTACTTTTTTTTTTTTTTAAGAGACAGGGTCTCACTGTGTTGCCCAGGCTTGTGTTGCCTTACTTTTTGTTGGAGTCAATGTCTAACTTTCCCACAGTGTGTATAGTTTTGATGAGAGGCTCTATTACTAGCCCAGTTTTTCTACTTCTCCAGATCAATGCTTTATCATGATAAAGCAAGTGGGAGCTAGAAAATGTTAAATATCTGGAGATTGATTATTTTTGTCAGCTTGCACAAAATTATAACTATAGCCATCACCACAAAACACACTGGAGTCAAATACAGCCACGGGATTGCAGCGAAAGCACCAGGCCTGGATGCAAAGGAGTAAAGTAAAGTAGAATCATAAAAGGTTTCAATAAAAACAATCAGGAGTGTGAGTAGCACAGGTAAATAAGGGTCTTAAACGGATACTTCAGAATCCACTGGACTTCCTTTAAATAAAAATTTATTGTTTTACAAACACAAGACATTTAGAAATGGAACCACATTCAGGGAAGACTCATGAAGAGAAATGCTAAGGGCAAGCTATACAGACAGCAATGGTTCTTACACAGTTTCTTTAAAATCCATCACACCTGAATCACTAACATGTTCTATATTTCATAGGAGGCTGCTTTGTGACACCATAAATCCAGCAACAGTATTTTAGTTATTTACCAAGTGATTAAACTGTAGTAATTTATTCCACATTTACACCCACATTTTCCCACTAGAATCCTAAAAGGCTTTACTGCCTCCCATAAAATATTTTCACTCTAAATAATCAATATTGAGTTAACTATATTCCATTATTTTTAGATTTATTTTCTTTTTCTGCACGCAATTCTCACCTCCATACAGTTTATTAAAAGATAAAGTGACTCACTTCCAAAGAAATTACATTTGACAACGCTCCTAATTGTGAATTTACTCTGCTGTTCCTTATAGACATTTTTAAAGAGGGAAGGGATGAAATAGATGTACTATATTAAAAGTAAAAACTGCATAAAAATGTAAAATCTTAGGCCTCTGAGCAAGTGTTTCAGGCAGTTGAGTCAACTAGCTAGCGTTCTGATAAGACAATGTTTTTCATCATACATTCCTTATACCTCTGGGTAGTGGTGGATATGAGTTGGGAGGAGTATGTAATAAAAGTAAAAAAAAAAACACTGGATAAAATTAACACAACATCCTGGACAATTATTTTTACTCAAATATTTAGGGGAAATATTTTATATGGAACTGGTAAGAATTGCATTATTGTACATATTGATGTGTTCTATATTAATATATTATTAAATAGTGTCAAAGTAAAATTATGTACTGTATCATATAATTTGGCCTTATATATTATAGGCTTAAATGTTAAACTGTGATGTGAATTTATAAGGTAAATTACAATTTTAAAAATTAGGCTTTGGGATATAGCTTCACATGTCATTAGCATCACCTTTTAATTTGGCCTACAAATTTCTTCCATTTTCTTCCCCTATACTGTATAGAAATATATGTTCACTCTCCTCTTTATTTAAGGGTACTTTGGTGAGAAAATTTGAATAATATTATTCTAGAAACATTGATTCTGGGGGGAGGTGTTTCAGCACTGTGAGCACGATAGAGCCTGGCTGATTACTAGGGATGAGTCAGCTGAGTTCTTAGTAGATGAGAGCTAAGAGAGAGCTGTGAAAGTCTGAACAAGAGTCCAGGTTGCTTAAGGGTGCCATAAAGATGAGATTCACTAGTCAAGAGTCAAAGATCCTTGAATTCAGGAGCCTCTAGCAGAAGTCCAGGGCAGTAATTGCTACCCAAATGTTTTCATCGACATTTAATACAGAAAGCCAGATGTAAGTGGATAAGCCCTTCAGAAGCTGAAAGACTTCTGTTGGTCTCTAATCCATGTACTTTATTGTCGGTATCTGGCAGAGACTCATCTTTAGGTCCATACAGAAGCCTGGCATAAAATGCCAGGAACATGAAAAATTGAAACCAAATGGTTCAATTTCCCTGTGTAGCTGCTACAAAACTCTGAAAACTGGACAAGGACTCTAGTCTGATGATATGACATGAAATCAGCCCACTCTTCACTTCCTGGTGAAATAGTCACAGGAGAGACAGGCTTGTGCTGTCATGAGAATACCATTTAGCCAGCAATGCTGCTGAGAAGTACCATGGAGAAAAAAGGGATATTGTCCAGTGTGAATGAAAAGCCACTGAAATTGGAGGGGTTCTATTTCTCATCAGCTCTGAAATACTTGTTTTTATTCTTTCTTTGTGCTTGTTCCTCCACTTACTAAATTGGAGGGCGTGACCCAAGAAAACCCTGTGGAAAGAAAATGCTTGGTGCAAGAAAACTATTTTAAAATAACATTTGTAGGTCCATTTTATGGACATTTATAAATCTTTTCTTCAAAATCAGTGGAATTATATATAAAACAAGTAAAAACATTTAGCATGGTCACTAGAATCAAGTTGCTAGCTTTATTATACAAATTAAAACTCCGTTAGTTGAATTAATGCCTGTAAACTATTTATGAAGAATTGTTTTTAAAGAATATCAACTGAGACTAAATCTTCATGTTTAAAGTAAGATATAAAGTTTAAGAAAACCTTCAGATAATATTTTAATTTTTTAATTGAATCTGATGTACTTACTATTGAAAGTGAGACATTTTAGTCCAAATAGACAAATAATTCTAATTGATTTAAAAAGATATACTATCCTTTACCTCTTATCTCTATTCTTTATCTATGACTGATGTTCATGCCATAATCTAACTCTGTATAAATGGTGACAACCCATAAGCTGTTCAGTTCATGTGGTTTCTCTCACTTTATACAAAATAAAAGCATACTTTTGTACGTTGTGCACACGTACCCTAAAACTTAAGGTATAATAAAAAAAAAGAAAGAAAAAGTGGGACTTTCTCAGTATTTTTCACAGACAATTTCAGCACAGTGATTTATAAATCTGGATAGTTATTTGTTTCTTAGTTGCTTAGCCCCACTAATGTCCCAAGTTAAGTAAATCGGATTCTAACCTAATGATTCTCTCCTTAGCAAACAATATATAACTCTTTGAGCTGAATTCTCCACCATTGAAATACTAGGAAATCATAGCATTTTCCTCAATAGGCCATTGAATTTCCCAGCATTTTCACAAAGGAGTTCTGCACATCCGACCCACCCCTACCACTTGATAGTTTGAGCTTAGATGATTAACACACAAAGACACACAACACACACACACACACACACACATGTGTGCCTCCTCCATTTACAATACCAACCTTAAGTGTGCACAGCCAACCCTGGGTGCACAGCCAAGGCTCTTTTCTTACCCATACCTAATAATCTTATTTTATGAGTTAGAAGCAACAAAAGAAATTTAGTGTTTGTGCTCTTATCTAATCCATATTTACTGCACAGATGTCAGGAGTGATCAGATGGAAGAAAGAAGAGATATATTTCTTTGTATGCTGGAAGAAAAGATTTAGATTTGGGTCTGGATTTTCTATTTTTGTATCCTTGAAATATAAATGCAATAATGCTGGCACAGAATGATCTGGCTGCCTTTTTCAATAAACAGTGAGATTGTTAGCCAGCCATTTCACAAGCTTATCTTGAAGGTGAAAAAAGAGACATTAAAAACAATAACAACAATTATCTCACAGCTGTATTGCACCTTTCTTCAGAAACTCCTAAAACATTCTGGAAATTATGGTCCAAATATTGTGCTCAGCACCTAACCATCTTCATCTAGTCCTCTCAGTGAGAAATATTAAGTACATAACAGTAGATAGAAATGACCCTCCAAATGAATACAGTTCATCATTTTCTCATAAAATACAACTCTTTTGGACAGGTACACACAATTCAGAAAACCAAAGGTGTTTAAAACCTAAGAGTTCCTTCCCAGGAGTTTCAGACTTGTGGCTCCCCAGGTTGAATGTGATTTATAAACATTTGCTTGGCCTACATGTATTTGAAAGATTTAAAATTTTTATGTAAAGTCTGAATTTCCAGCTTATCTTGAAAAAATTGGAGGATGTGCAATACATCCCATATGGCAGTAATTGGCTAAATCTGAGTAGCAGTCTTGCCCTCTTTAGTAGTCCAAGGCTGCACGCTCAGCAGTCAACTATTATCCAACATTTGCTTCACTATTCACATTTACTGTAGCTCCTTCTCCTTACCCCTGGAAATAAAGCTAAAGCCCTAGTTTTAATCTGTGTAGACATACTAACTTCCTTAAATAAGCTGCTTTTCTCCATGTGCTCCATAATTATTCTTCAAAGTGTAGTTCTTGAGATGGCATTGGGCTGACAATTCATATTGCCTGGGTGTAATTAATTATTTCAGCAGATATTTGTTATCTATGCAAGGCAAAAAGCTGGGAAATGTAGAATAGATGGCAATGGATCAGACAAGACCATGTTTTTGGAAAGTCACTAGTGCGATAAGGAAAACAAAACACAAATAGAAATTTCAAGGCAGTCATGTACCAAATCTGTAAAAGAAACATCTAAAACAGCTAGAGGATTTCAGGAAAAGGAACCTAATTTTCACTGAAAATGGGTGAGGGAGGACTTAGTGAAGGTTTCCTCAGTTACCTTCCTGAGAAGCAGACTCAGATGGAGGTTTACACAGGGGTCTTATTAAGAATGTTCTGGCCGGGCTTGGTGGCTCAGGCCTGTAATCCCAGCACTTTGGGAGGCGAGGCAGGCGGATCACGAGGTCAGGAGATTGAGACCATCATGGCTAACACGGAGAAACCCTGTCTCTACTAAAAATCCAAAAAAAAAAATTAGCCAGGTGTGGTGGCAGGCGCCCGTAGTCCCAGCTACTCGGGAGGCTGAGGCAGGAGAATGGCATGAACCCAGGAGGCAGAGCTTGCAGTGAGCCAAGATCACACCACTGCACTCCAGCCTGGGCAAGAGAGTGAGACTCAGTCTCAAAAAAAAAAAAAAAAATGTTCTTAGGATCAAGACCTGTAGGCGAGTGAAAGAAGCAGGACTGGGCAGAGGGAGATGTTGAACCAAAATGCAGTAACAACAAAAGACTTCAGCAGACCCCACGGGAACTTTGGAACTGGAATGTCCTTCAGAATTGATCCATATTGGAGCAAGTGGGCCATACCCTTATAACCCACATTGGTCAGTCAACATATGTGTTCACTAATGGGCAAAGATCCTGGCTCCCACCAGCCCCTTCCTCTTCACTTTCTGGACTCTGGTAAGGCAAATTTTTCTTTATATCTTGCTCCTATCCAGTATACACACAGGGCTGGACCTCCCTGACACATTGTTTCTACTTATGGCTCTGGCTACATAGATGAGGAAACACTCACTTTTCCAATGCAATAGGCTGGGTAAGTGGACTTGGGCTGCACTTTTTGCTCATGTTCAGCCATACCTCTCTATCTCAGTTTCATCTCTGTCTTTCTCTTGTTCTTGCTCACACTCTTTGTGGGCATGCCTGAATTTGCAGATTCATAGTATAAATCCAACATGTGAGATGAACATCCCCTTTTGGTATTAGTCTTACCTTGTTTTAGCCAGCTTTTAACAGAAAGTCCCACATTGGAGAGAGCTTTGTTTTATATTATTTTGCTAATTCATTGACATTTCTCTGTGTATGGTCTATCAGTCAGAGTGTCAGAGTGGAGAAGTGAATGGCGCCCCAACTTTAAGGACTTAATGTATTTGAGTAGGATTATTAATATCACTCTGAGCTGTGAGGCATGTTTTTTCAGGCATTTTATACCACCAGCTTAGAGAGATCCTTACTGGCCATGGCCACCTTGATAACAATAAATAAATTGTCATAGTTATCAATTATTGATTTTTATAACAGACAGTGGAATGGGAAATTTGTAAATATTATTTTTAATTCTTATGTCAACTCTTCAAGAAAAATATTATTTCCTTTTATAGATGAGTGAATAGAGAGTAATAAAGAGGTAAAACTTGCTCATGGTCACATAGCTAATAGATTGAAAACTAAGGTTCAAAGTCTGGTGATCTTCTCACTCCTCAGCCTTAGCTCTTTCTCTACTTCACACTGCTTTTGACAACAGTGATGTGGTTTGGCTCTGTGACCCCACCCAAATCTCACCTTGAATTGTAATCCCCATAAACCCCACATGTCAAGTGTGGGACTAGGTGGACGTAATTGAATCATGGGGGTGGTTTACCCCCGTATTGTTTTTGTGTTAGTGAGTTCTCACGAGACCTGATTGTTTTATAAGCATCTGGCATTTCCCCTGCTGGCACTCATTCTCTCTCTTGCTGCCCTGTGAAGAGGTGCCTTCTGCCATGATTGTAAGTTTCCTGAGGCCTCCCCAGCCATGAGGAAGTGAGTCAATTAAACCTCTTTTCTTTCTAAATTACCCAGCCTCAGATATGTCTTCATAGCAGTGTGAGAACAGATTAATACAAACAGTAATTGATTATTGAGTCCCTACTAAGTGCAAATTTTTTTACATATATTACCTAACAATGTTTACAATAGCCCCAGGACATTTATAATTGCCTCTTTTACCCACATGGAAAATGAGGCTAAGTAAAGGAACTTGCCAAGGATCAGTCAGCTGGTAAGTGGAGGTGCCATGAGTCAGTCCTATGTCTGACAGTTCCCTTCTACCCTGTTTCATGGTCTGTCTCTTTGGTAAGGAGAGAAGTCACATGGGCATGGTCATACATCTCTACAATCTGTAATCTTCTTTTGGGGAGAAAGCAAAATCAGCAGTTATTTTGCAATGAAATCAAGACTATATATCATAGAACCTCTGAAAGGATACCACAGAGTGGTATACTCGGTAACTCTGCTTTCTGCTTGTGCTTAAACATCAGAATCTAGACATGAAGTCCAGACTTTCTTCCTGGTCAGCTCTATTTCTCCACTAGTTCAGTCAAGTCTGTCTAAGATAGTCTCTCTTTTCATTAACTCAAAGTTATAGAATTATTATATCTACCAAATCTGCCATCCACATTATCTGTCACATAATAAAACTTAATCAGCGGAGTGACATCCATCATATTCTCAGGTCTTGCCCACACTCAAGGGAAGGAGAATGTTTAGGTTATACACATTAAGAAGAAGGAATCTTTAGGTGTATGTTAAAACTCTGCCTACCGGATCTATCAATATATGTTGCATCTGTAACCCCTTCTGTAAAAGATTTTATACCTACAGCCAAGAAGTCATTCCTTTTTATGTTTTTCTACATTGCTATGCATTTGACTGTATTATAGCATAAACTGCCCAGCAAAGTCCACAACAGAAACTATGTCTTATGTTTAGGTAAACATTATGGAACAGTGTCAAGTAGTATAAACCTGTGTACAAGACCCAGATTTTTCACTTACTAACTCTGAGAAATTGAGCCAGCATTAAAAGCTCTGGCATTTCCCCTGCTGGCACTCATTGACACTAATGAAGATAAGAACCTTCATTATCTTATCTTTAAATTTGAAGAAATAAAGTACCTACATCATAGGAAGAAATTAGGAATAATAGTTAAGGACTCAGGCTCTAGAATCAATTAGCCCATGTTTTGTTACTGCTCTCCCACTTACTAGCTGAGCATAGAAGTCAGGATGGAGAAGCTTGTGCTGCAGTAACAAACAGATATCTCAGTGACTTAAAACAATAAAGATTTCTTTCCCACTCATGCTACCTGTTCAACCCAAATTGACCAAGAGCTCTGCTTCCACATTGTCCTCAGTCTGGAAGCCAGCCTTGTATAGCTGCTACCCTCTAGAACATTTCAGGTCACTGTGAAAAAAATGGGAGCCCTACTGACTCTTGCAGCAGCAATTAAATGCTCTGGCTAGTCAATAAACATGTGTTGTTCATCCAAACACCAGTGAGCCAAGGCATATAACCCTACTATGTGAGAAAGAAAAGAAAACTGGTAAGCTTTTTGTTTTGTTTTGTTTTTGTTTTGAGATGGAGTCTCACTCCCTTGCCCAGGCTGGAGTGCAGTGGCATGATCTCGGCTCACTGCAACCTGTGCCTCCCAGGTTCAAGTGATTCTTCTGCCTCAGTTTCCCAAGTAGCTGGGATTACAGGTGCCCGCCACCACGCCTGGCTAATTTTTGTATTTTTAGTAGAGACAGAGTTTTACCATATTGGTCAGACTGGTCTTGAACTCCCGACCCCAGGTGATCCACCCAACTCAGCCTCCCAAAGTGCTGGGATTACAGAAATGAGCCACAATGCCTGGCCTAAAGCTGGATATTTTTAGAAGACAGCACTGAGATAATTACACCAGGTATGCCTAATCATTATACTTTACTCACCAGTAAAGTGGGGATATTAATAATAATACCTACTTCCTGGATTTATTATATACATATCATATGAGGTAATATATGAAATATGTTTAGAACACTGCCAGGCAGAGTAAGGCATCAGTTAATGCAACATATTGCTACCATCACTGAAGTTTTGTACATAAACAAACAGGGAAGGTATCTAAAGTTCTTGGCATAGTGCCTAGCAGGAAGTAAATATTTATTATTTTTAGGCCTTCTTTTATACAATGTTGTAATGGTTGTCTTTATCATGCTTACCTACCCCATATTTGGGCCAAACACACAGTGTTTACTCAATAGATGCTTGCATTTCATGAGCTGTATTTTGTTCTCAAGCATTTACTGAGTGACTCTTATATCAATCTCTGACTTTCTGGGATGATTGTTGACAGGTCAACAGATATACTGTCTACACTAAGTGCTATGTAAGAAGGTTAATGTCAGAAGCCAATGGCTTAGAAGTAATCCAGATTTTAGGGACCTGTGCCTCCCTACCAGATTGAAGTTGGCTTGCATGCCATATAGGAGCAGAGCTCCCTGGATCCCTGGACAGACTCCAGTGTTTCAAGGCAAATGGTCTTCACTGCACAGAGTCATAGGGAGACTCATCAGCACCCACAAAGTTCTGTACAAGAGCACAGTTATATGGGAGAAGGAAAGATCAAACCAATGTTTGAATACCTACTGAACCTGTTACCAATTCACTAGTGTCCTTGAGACTCAAATTTAACCCCTTCAAAAGAGCCTACAAACCTACAAACCTTCACTAGCACCTGAGGTGAAATCAGGGGAAATACTGTAGTGGTTCATATGTAAGGGCCTTCCTAATATTCACCAGAATGAAGCCTCAGAACATTGACTTCAAAACATCATTCAATGTGCTTTCAGCCAAACAGAATAAAAAATTAGTCATGATTTCAGAGTTTCTCCATGATCGATGTAAAAGTTGAGATCTTAATAAAACTGATTCACAATATGCCATGTGAAAAAGCCAGACACCAAGACCACGTCTTACATAATCCCATTTATATTATGTGTCCGGAATAAGAAAATCTATGGAGACAGAATGTAGTATGGTGGTTGCCTAAGGCTTGGAGGGAGAAGAAGGAATAAATGATAACGGTCATATTTCTTTTTAGAGTGATTAAAATTTTCTAAAATTATATTGCTCTGATGGTTGCATGACTCTTTAAATATACGAAAAGCATCTAAGTGTACATTTTAAATGGATGAATTTTATAGTACGGGAATTACATCTTAAATGAAATTGTTAAAAAAGAAAGATCATTTGCCACATATCAATGAAGCATCTATAAAGGACACTTTATAGTAAAAAGAATAATCAAAACACATAAGGAATATAAATAAATAAATAAATAAATAAATAAAGCCAACCTAAGATTTTACCAAAAACCATCATTTAAAATCTAGGCCTGAAATTCAGTGCACACTTTGTCTAATTTGAATTGGGTTTCTTATTTCAAATCTTTAGTTAAGGTTACTTGAGAAGAGAATCTAAAATCACAAAAGGAAATCAATACCACAGTTGACCAAGGCCAGATTCAATAATACTGCCCACGTTTGAGTGCAGTGAGGGAAAACAGCATTCATTAGTCATATAATAACTACAAGGCCTCCCGCTTAACTCAGAAATTCCTCCAAGGAACACAACCATTTCCCACCTATTATTTTCTATTGATTTTCACCATTGTCAAGAGGCAGAGCAGGAAAACGAGTTATAACCAAAGAAGGTGACACCAGAGAGAGCAGGAGTGGGAAACCCTGAACAGCTTTGTAGTGGTGATGGCGGATAGGCATGAAAGCCTTTCCTTTTTCTCCTTTTTTTTTTTTTTTTTGAGACGGAGTCTCACTCTGTCACCCAGACTGGAATACAGTGGTGCAATCTCTGCTCACTGCAACTTCCACCTCCGGGTTCAAGCGATTCTCCTGCCTTGGCCTCTAGAGTAGCTGGGACTACAGGCATACACCACTACACCCGGCTAATTTTTGTATATTTAGTAGAGATGGGGTTTCACCATGTTAGCCAGGCTGGTCACGAACTTCTGACCTCAAGTGATGCACCTGCCTTGGCCTCCCAAAGGGCTGGGATTACAGGTGTGATCCACTGCACCCAGCTGGTATGCAGGGCTTTCAACTTGCAGCTGAGTATGTGAGAGCTGGAATTTCCTTTGCTTATCTGAATCCTGTGCCCAAGGGAATTTGAAGGGAGATGATTAGATTGAATGTCCCATCTTTATCATCATCATTTTATAGCATATATACTAATGTCATTATAATCCTAGCTCACCATTTTTTACAATGAATGATTATCATAGCTAACATTTATTTTCATCATTGGGGAACTCTCCCCTGAGTAGTCAAGATTCCCATGGGACTCCCTATATATCAAGAACAGATAGAGCCAGTTCCTTTTAACATGTGAAGAGACTTGACACATTTAGTGTTTATTTAGTGCTAAGCTCTATAAGTGCTTTACAGATATTATCTCATATATAATGTCAAAAACAATTCCATGGAGAAGGTATTTTCATTTATTATACACATTTTACAAAATAGAAACTAAGGCATGAAGAAGTTTAAGAAGTTGTGTAGGGTCATATGGCTATGGAATGGTAGAGGGGAAATTGAATCAAGGAGGTGTGTTTTTAAGTCCTTACTCATAACCTCCATGCAAGCTGCTTTCATAGGAGAGGGAAGTTCCTTCAAAGGAGAACATTTTGACCTAGGTTTATATTGTTCACAGAGATTCTTCATTTCTAAATTGCAGTAGGAGTGGGGTTTCTGATGACCATTATTTCCCAAGTCCTATATATTTTTTACCCCATCAATGCCTAATACCATCAATTTTGATTTTTTTAAGGTCATTATATTTATCAAGCTTTTGAGATAAAAAATTGCTGAAATATATATTAGAAGAAAATTCTTGATCCTATTGAAGTCTTAAAAATCTCATGTTTATGCACTTATTTTTTTCAGTATGTTTATTGAATGTTCTGTATGTGCCTGCTACTGTTCTAGGCACTGGGGATAAAACATGAATAAGACAGGAAATGTATCTGCTCTTCTGTTGTTTCATTCTGATCCAGTTTCCCAACCTCTACCACTATGGACATGTGGGGGAATATAATCCCTCGTTGTAGGGAGTTGCTGTACCATTGTAGTGTGTTTAGCACTCCTCCCATTCTGATAAACAAAATGTTTCCAGACATTGTTAAATGTTACCTATAGGGGCAAAACCACCACCACCATCACGCTTGCCCCAAGAAACACTGTGATTCAGATTAAAAATAAAGAAACAAATTAGCAGATGAAAAAAGTATTCTGCAAAGTATTACAAAATAATAATATATTAGGAAGCAATTGTGTGGCTAATTTAGGTTGGGTGATCAGGATGGCCTTTTCGAAGAGCTTGTATCTAAACTGAGATCTGAATGTCAATAACAAAGATTATGGAAAATAGCATTCCAAGTATATGTTGAATCCAAGACAAAGGCTGTGAGAAAGCTATGAGCAAGCTATAAGCTTAATTTATTCCAGGGTCAGAAAGAAGGCTAATGTGAATGAAACAGAATGAGACAGGGGAGAGCAGTTTAAAGTGAAGTTATAGAAGAAAAGAGAAGACAGATTAGGCAAACCAGGATAAGGAATTCTGATCTAATATTATGCAACGTGCAGCTACAAGAAGGCGTCACACACACAACACACACACAACACAACATGGTCTATTATGTGCAGGGTGAATTGTAGGAAGATAGGACTAAAAGCAAAAAAAACTAGATAGTTGGACACTGTTGCAGTATTTCAAAAGGAAATAATGGTGGTTTGGACAAAGACGGTACTAAGAGGGATAGAGAGAAATGAATTATTTGAGTGAATTAGTGAAAAAAATTTTGACAGAACTTGCTGATGGATTGTGTGTAATAAAGGAGAGAGAGATCACATAGATTATACTCCTTTTTTTGGTTTATTTCTGTTTTTTTATTTGATCTGGAATACCTGAACGGATGATTAGTTCAGAAAATTAAAATGAAGTTCATCTATGTGCCTGTTTTTGTACAAGTGCCATGTTGTTTTGGTAACTGTAGCCTTGTAGTATAGGCTGCAGTCAGGTAGTATGATGCCTCCAGCTTTGTTCTTTTTGTTTAGAATTGTTTGGATACACAGGCTCTTTTTTTGGTTCCATAAGAATTTTAAAATAGTTTTTTCTAATTCTGTGAAGAATGTCAATGGTAGTTTTATGGGAATGACACTGAATTTCTAAATTACTTAGGGCAGTATGGTCATTTTCATGATATTGATTCTTCCTATCCATGAGCATGAAATATTTTTCCATTTGTTTGTGTCCTCTCTGATTTCCTTGAACAGTGGTTTGCAGTTCTCCTTGAAGCAGTCCTTTGCTTGCCTTATTAACTGTATTCCTATGTATTTTATTCTCTTTGTAGCAATTGTGAATGGGAGTTCATTAATACTTTGGCTCTTTGCTTGTCTGGTGTTGGTGTATAGGAATGTTTGTGACTTTTGCACATTGATTTTATATCCTGAGACTTTGCTGAAGTTGCTTATCAATTTAAGAAAATTTGGGGCTGAGATGATGGGGTTTTCTAGAGAACTCAGAAATAAGATGATACATGTACAACCATCTGATCTTCAACAAACCTGAGGAAAAAAAACAAACAATGGAGAAAGAATTTCCTATTTAATAAGTGGTGCTGGGAGAACTGGCTAGCCATATGTAGAAAATTGAAACTGGACCACTTCCTTACACCTCATACGAAAATTAACTCAAGATGGATTAAAAAATGAAATATAAAACCCAAAAAGTACAAAAACCTAAGGAAAAAATCTAGGCAAAACCATTCAGGACATAGGCACTGGAAAAGATTTCATGATGAAAATTCCAAAAGCAATTGCAACCAAAGCAAAAATTGACAAATGGGATCTAATTAAACAAAAGAGATTCTGTACAGCAAGAGGAACTATTATCAGAGTGAACAGGCAACTGACAGAATGGGAGAAAAATTTTGCAACCTATCAATCTGACAAAGGTCTACTATCCAGAGTCTACAAGGAACTTAAACAAATGTACAAAGAAAAAACAGACAACCCTATTAAAAAGTGGGTAAAGCACATGAACAGACACTTCTCAAAAGAAGACATTTATGTAGCCAAGAAACATATGAAAAAAGCTCAGCATCACTGATTATTAGAGAAATGCAAATCAAAACCACCATGAGATACCATCTCATGACAGTCAGAATGGTGATTATTAAAAAGTCAAGAAAAAAACAGATGATGGAGAGGCTGCAGAGAGATAGGAATGCTTTTACACTATTGGCTGGAATGTAAATTACATCAACCATTGTGGAAGACAGTGTGGTGATTCCTCAAAGACCTAGAAGCAGAAATTCCATTTGACCCTGCAATCCCATTACTGGGTATATACTCAAAGGAATATAAATCATTCTATTATAAAGATACATGCATGTGTATTTTCATCACAGCACTATTCACAATAGCAAAGACACGGAATCAACTCAAATGCCCATCAATGATAGACTGCATAAAGAAAATGTGGTACATATATATTATGGCATACTATGCAGCCACATAAAGGAATGAGATCATATCATTTGCAGGAAAATGGGTGGAGCTAGAATCCATTATCCTCAGCAAACTAATGCAGGATCAGAAAATCAAATGCCTCATGTTCTCACTCAAAGGCGGGAACTGAACAATGAGATCACATGGACATAGGGAGGGAAACAACACACAGTGGGGTCTGTTGGGGGTTGTGGGGAGGGAGAGCATCAGGAAAAATAGCTAATGTATGCTGGGCTTAATTCTTAGGTGATGGGTCATTAGGTACAGCAAACCACCATGGCACACGTTTACCTATGTAACAAACCTGCATATCCTGCACATGTACTCTGAACTTAAAATAAAATAATGCTTAAAAAAATGAAGTCAAAGAGAGAGGGCTCAGAACTAAGAGTTCAGTTTTGAGCACGACATGTTAAATTTGAAATATCCACTAGATATTCATAGGAAGATACCATGTAGGCATTTGAAATTCTGGGAGGTCAGAATTAGAGATAGTGTTTGGGAATATTAGCTTAGTTATTAGATGATATTTAAGTTGTAGGTCTTGATTAATTCATCTATGAAGACTCAACTGAAAGAGAAGGTAAAGGGACACAGGATAGAATATCAAGGCTCCCCAACATTTAGAGTTGAAGCCTAGGACACAGAGAAAAAATGCAGACAATGAAGAGGAAGAACCAGCAATAGATACTAAAAAAGGGTGGCAAGATGGTTGAAACAAATTGTTCACAGGAGTATAAGGGACTCCTTGAAATAAACTGATACACTTAGGGAAGTTACAAAAGGAAGTCTTTATGTAGATATCTCATCACTGAAATGATTTTACTCTAGGATAACTGTTGAATCCCTAATTTAAGAACAAAAATGAGGGCGAATCCTGGAGTGTGCTTGCTAGCCTGCAATGTTCATGTCAATCTGTTTAATATTGTGGTTTCTTAACATTAATATAAGTTAACAGATCATTTAGTATGTAGAAGCATTATGCTAAGTGCTTCTTAATAAACAGACACTATTTTTATTCTCTCAACTAGTCTAAAGAAAGTATTAATATATTAAAAGTAAACATGGATATAGGGCTTACTATGAGTCCAGCCGTGTTCTAAGCACTTTACGAAAATTAACACATGTAATCCTCACAATAATACTATAATATAGGAACTGTTCCTGTTACAATCCTCATTTTACAGATAAGGAAACTGAGGCAGTGAGAAATTGAGTAGATTTTCCAAGTTCAGCTAGTAAGAAGTAGACCCAGGTTTTGAACTCAACAATCTGACTCCATTCTGTGCTATTCACCACTAAAAGTCATTGCTTCTCTACAGTACTCTGCTGTAGGCATTTTATAAATGCTATAAAGAACTACACTAAGCCAATTTACAGATGAGGAAACTAAGCCTTGAAAAGGTTGGGTTATTTCACCAAGATCATTTCGCTAGTGAGTGGCAGATCTGAGTTTTGAACTTAGATCTCTCAAACACCAGTGCCCTCACTCTTGAATATTAATAACAAGTACCATACTATGCAAGATATAGGGAGAGAAACCAAAGTTACAAGAGAAAAAAAATGTCCTGGCCATCCTTCTGTAAGTTAATGTCAGAAGCAAACACAGAACTCAGATGAGGGCTCTAGCAAAAAGAGCATCTCTTAGTCCATTTTGTGTTGCTATCACAAAATACCTGAGACTGGGTAATTTATAAAGAACAGAAATTTATTTTCACAGTATTGGTGGCTGGGAAACCTGAGATCACGGCTCTTGCTATCTTGTAATCATCAGATAACAAGAATATCTGATGAGGATCTTCTTGTTACATTCCCACATGGCAGAAGGCAGAAGGGCGGGAGATAGTGAACCCACTTCGACAGGCCCTTTTTATAGCAGCATTAATCCATTCATGAGGACAAAGCCCTCATGACCACAAACACCTCCCCAAAACCCCCATCTCCCAACATTGTTGCATGGGGGATTAAGTTTCCAACACATGAATTTTGGGGAACACATTTACTAGCAGAAAGCATGGCATTAATCTTAAAAGCAAATCCCAATTTCCCTTCATTTACTCTGTAAACAAAGCTCCAGCATGGTACTAAGTTTTCAGTCCACAGGTATGCACACCCCACTCTTCCCTCACAATTCCTGCTTCCTACCACAAAGGAGCTACCTGGAGTCAGGTGTTTGCTTTCAAGGAATCCATCTCATTCTTGGAATGGGCCACTCTCCATCCCTTTACCCTTAGTGACTTTTGTTTTTGGACAATTCGCCCCTGTAATAAAATATCCACCTTTCATGCCACTTCTTAGAAGATTGTTATGTGCTCAATAAATATCTCTTAAGTAAATAAATGAATGTCAGAGTTGTTGTATAGATCAAATTAGATAATGCCTACAAAGTACTTAGTTCTGTACCTGAAACATAGTGACTACTTGATAAATAGCAACTGCTGTGTTATTATTCTTATTGTCATTCACATTACTTTTGTTGTTGTTACTGACATTTGTTAAAGGAGGGAAAAAGTAGATACATAGCACAGCCCCAAATATACTCCTAGTTACTACAAATAATTCATAGAGGAAAAAAAAGGAAGGTTGTTTTTCTTCTGCCTAGTAAGGTGGCAAGTAGGGAGCTCAGAGAAGACTACAGCTCAGTATGGCACAACTTCTTCTCAGCATCTCCTAAGTATGAATTATGTTAATTATCAGGTTTATGTTGGTTTTTCTATATGTAAATAAATTGAGGAAAAACAAAGATTTACTTCAAATAATAGTAACATTGTGATTTTGTTTATTTCAATTACATAGTTATAAAATCACTATTTTATTTACTATAGGTGATTGTATTATATGTAAGAAAACTGAGATAAGCAAAAATTTAAAATGTTTTAATATTATTTTTGGAAATATACATAAATAATATTGTTTTTATATATGTATGTAAAAGCATTTTTTAGTGTTACTAAACTATTATTCAAATCTTTTATAGAAGAAATACATATATATTTCTATCTATATATAGATATATTTTTATCTACATATAGTTACACTTCTATCTTTATATAGATATATTTATTTCTAAATGTGGATATGTTTGTTTCTGTATGTATGTGTATACAGAGTGAGAGGAGAGAGATATGCATACATGTTTGATAGAAAAATTCTGAAAGGAGATACATATATGTATTTAAAGGGATATCTATATATCCCTTTAAATTTATTTGTTTGTTTATTTATTTATTTATTTATTTATTCTACCACAAAAACAAATGCACGAACAGATGGAAAACCCTCTGATTTCTTTCTTATAACTTGCTAGGGTAAAATCTACATTTAATTTGAAAATCCTTTACTTTTATCATACTACCTTTCTCTTGTATCTTAATTGAGCAAGTAACAGAAAAATAACAAAATTCCGTGATATCACTGACCACATAAAATACTAATGACTAAAAAATAGGAGAAAGTTTTCCTGTCAATAGAGCTAACTTGCTATAACTTATAGATAGACAGACAGATAGATAGATAGATATCCCTTTAAATACATATATATCTCCTTTCAGGATTTTCCTGTCAAATATATATGCATATGTATCTCCTCCCACTCTGTGAACACATAACACACACACACACACACACACACGCGCGCGCGCGCGCGCATCCATATTTTCTATTTTTAGCGTTACCCCTGTAACTCAAGGTTAGCTTGAGGTTTTTGTGGTTCTTAATAACTCTGTGTAGGTAGATAGGTCCTTGGGCCTACTTGCCATCTGGCAAGCATCTGTTCTAGGCTAAAAAGTAGCAAGGCCTCCAAAATACTGCAAATGGCCATTTACTTTTCTCTGATCACGCCCTACCCTTTTCTCATTCTCAGTGAACTTTTTGGGTGGGGCACTACTCCTGTTCCTAGATGAGGAATGTACCACAGTCTGAGCCAATCAGCAAAAGGCATTTCCTTGCCACTGTGATTTGTTCATGAATTGTGCACATATGACCCACTTTGGTCCAATAAGTGCATCTCAGGACATGGCAGGAGCTCCCTTTTTGTGTCAGACCTGAGACCACCATATGGCGCCTGCAAGTGAAAGCAGTACAGAAGCAAAGTTTACTGAGAGACGATAAAAATTCCAATAATTGATGGTAATTTTTGAGTCCCTGCATCTGCATCTGAGTAAGTTTCACTCTGACCTCTTTAATTACATAAGCAATAAATTCCTGTTATTAATTTATCTGGTTTAAGCAAAGTTTTGCTTATGTACAATAGAAATAATTTTAAAATAACAAGTACAAATCATAGAAGCCAAACTTGAGTTTTGGTGCCAAAGCGCTTCTGCTTGAAAAGAAATTCCTTTTTGGTATAAATCAAATGGGCACAGGGAGTCAGCGTACTCGGACTTAGGCCAGCCAAGAACACATGGCCCATTAGAACAAATGATCCCATCTGTTTCCTGTGGGAAAGGCTTTTCTTTCTGTATGTTTCAAATACTCTCTGCATTCAGGGTCTTTAAATGCCAACCGTTGTTCTAGTTCCTCAAACTCAACAAGCAAATAGAAACTATAAAATTTTGATGAACATCAATCAGAGAAGAAAATCTTACAACCAGATTATAAAAGTTCCCTCATAAGATAGTTGCATTTGGAAGAGAGATTTGTGTGGTTCAATATACCAAAAACTTATTTCCTCACCTGTTCTCATCAAGCTTAATGAATATCTTACACAAAAAAACAATCCCTTTTGTTACTGCATTCTATGTCTTGGCAAGCTTCAGACTTAACAGGTCCATTAAAATGGTACCTTCCACACAGAGTGCAACAATAATCTCTGGGCATCATTGTCATCCAGGCTTTCCCAAATGAAAAGACAAACTCTGTATCACATAAAGTCATCAGTAAACCATCTTCGGAAATTAGAGCAAAGAGAAGAATAATGTATTCAGATATATTCAAGAGGCACACAAAACAAATACACACACTGTTTTACAGTATTTACATTTTGAAGGGAACACCTTATATCTATTTTAAAAGCTTGTTGTGTTCTGTAATCTCCCCAGCCTTTCACATTCATAGCAATTTATCTGCACCTTTCTTGTGGTATTTATTACTTGCTACTTTTATTATCGTTAAATATCTATAAGTCTTATCTTTTCTACAAGAATTTGGTTTATCCTCATCTCTCAGGCATAGTATAGCACAGTGGCTTGTAGATACAGAACTTCTGCAAATAAACGTTTAAGTATTTTTTTAATTAATGAATTTATTTATTTATTTATTTATTTATTTATTATTATTATACTTTAAGTTTTAGGGTACATGTGCATAATGTGCAGGTTAGTTACATATGTATACATGTGCCATGCTGGTGCGCTGCACACACTAACTCATCATCTAGCATTAGGTATATCTCCCAATGCTATCCCTCCCCCCTCCCCCCACCCCACAACAGTCCCCAGAGTGTGATGTTCCCCTTCCTGTGTCCATGTGTTCTCATTGTTCAATTCCCACCTATGAGTGAGAATATGCGGTGTTTGGTTTTTTGTTCTTGCGATAGTTTACTGAGAATGATGATTTCCAATTTCATCCATGTCCCTACAAAGGACATGAACTCATCATTTTTTATGGCTGCATAGTATTCCATGGTGTATATGTGCCACATTTTCTTAATCCAGTCTATCATTGTTGGACATCTGGGTTGGTTCCAAGTCTTTGCTATTGTGAATAATGCCGCAATAAACATAAGTATGATTTTTAACAGCAGGGCAAACCTGGATGGAGACAGAAAGCTTTTTTACTTAAAGGAGATTGGGTTAAAAGAAAGTTGTAAGAGTTGAAAATTATTGTATTATAGCTCAAACTTCAGTGAAGAAATTTATTCTTCATGTAAACCCAATTATTCATTTGTACATATAAACTCATTAGTTGATTGAATATCTATGAAAGCTATTATAAGATCAAGAATAGAAGAGAAATTATAGCAAGAGTTCTACGGAGAGGAAAACTTGCTCCTTTTTTTTAGATCTCAGTATTTTATGAAGTCAGTGATATGGAATTTTCTTATTTCCCTGTTCTTCTTGCTCAATTAAGATGCAAGAGAAAGGTAGTATGATAAGAGTAAAGAATTTTCTAATTGAATGTAGATTTTACCCTAGCAAGTTATAAGAAGAAAATCGGAGGGTTTTCCTTCTGTTTGTGTGTTTGTTTTTTGTGGTAGAATAAATGTAGAGAAGAAAAAAACTGAGAGAAAGAGAGAGAGAGATTATGTAAAACTCTAAATTATCAAAGAACAAGAGACAGAATTATGTGTGAGTCTTGGAAAGACTTCTGAGCCGAGATGAAAGACACCAGCTGGCAAAAGAAATATTTCCCTTAAGCCTGTATAAAAATACCTGGATTAAGAACAGTCAAAAATAAGTGAGATAAGAATACCAAGTTGTATCTTGTTCATGGGTTTCATTTAAACCTAGCTCTCAAATACATAAATAGTTTAATGCATTGATATCTTCAATGTCTACACTTTCCTACTTCAAAATGTAGTTGTATTTATTTATTTCCCCTTGTTCACATTCAAAAAGAAATTATTAAACCCAGATCAAATGAAATTATTAAACCCAAGTCAAATGAAATTATTAAAATACAGTAGAAAACAAGAGGTCAATAATGGCAAGAGACAAAAAGAGATCCTAAAACATTAGCTGATAAGGAGTTACTACTGTTAGAAAGAACACTTTCCTGGCCAGGTGCGGTGGCTCACGCCTGTAATCCTAGCACTTTCGGGGGCCGAGGCAGGTAGATCACTGGAGGTCGGGAGTTCAAGACCAGCCTGCCCAACATGGTGAAACCTCATCTCTACTAAACATACAAAAAATTAGCCAGGCATGGTGGCGGGCACCTGTAATCCCAGCTACTCGGGAGGCTGAGGCAGGAGAATTGTTTGAACCTGGGAGGCGGAGCTTGCAGTGAGCTGAGATGGCACCACTGCACTCCAGCCTGGGTGACAAGAGTGAAACTGTCTCAAAAAAAAGAAAAAAAACAGAAAACAAACAAATAAAAAACTTTCCTTTGAATTTGTTCCCATTCATGTGAATAAATATTACTAAATCACATACTCCACCAGTAAAGTATAGAGAATAAAGAAAATATATTTATTGTTATTATTTAAATAGAATCCTTAACTTTATAAATGGAAAATAAATACATTTGTGTTCAGCAAAATAATCATATTTAAATTTATTCTAATCAAAAGCAACGTAAAAGCGTTTTCTCTAATTTCACTGTGCAGGTAGCATCGTAGTCTGCAGTTCAGACATACAAAGAACCATTTTTTTTTTCCATAGAAGCATAATTATCTTTCAAGACCTGGATAATGTCTTGAAATCTCAGCCAATTTGATGTTTTTCCTTTCTCCTCCCTGAGGAAGTTTTCATGTTCTGATAAGTTTTGTGGAGGCTACATCAGTCAAGGTGGGGATTCTGTTCCATCGTGTCATTTCTCCATATAGGTATCTAATGCTAAGTCCTTCATTCTGTTTCGACTTTGGTCATTAGGTCCACATAGGTAGCTCCAGAGACATGCCTCATTCCCATTTACGTGAACCCTACAGGTACAGAGTCTTTGCTGCTTTGGTGTAACGTTTGGTGTTAGAGAAATATTTCAGCTTCTGGGTCACTCTGGGGCATTCTCTGAGGCTCCAGAAGAACCTCACTGGGTTGGACTAAGCAGGCAGCATTTTCTAGAAATATTGTTGCTTCCTAGAGCTCAGCTTAGGTGAATCTATTCTAGAAAAGATGGTCATGGTCATAGAAGGGATGGGGTTGCAAAACGTGCTGGGCCAGCAGGGGAGGTGAAGCAGTTTTTCTCTATTTCATATTACTCCAAACATTTTTGTGCTTGGAGCTCTCTCAATTACCTTAAGCTATTTAGGCTTTAAATGAAAGCCAGGAAGAGATTGGCAGGCTATTTTTTTTTCTTTCCAGTTTGCTGTTTCCCTCTCCTGAGGCAGCAGCCCAGGATGTCCTAGCTGTTTGAATAAGAAAGTTCAGGAGGATGGAATTATCAGGAGTGGTGAAGAAACACATGATTTAGTATTTCAAAACTTTCCCAGGAAATAAGAAAAAATGTCTATGAGGTTATATAGGAGAAAATTAGCATAAAGTTGTGGCTAGGTAGAAGAAATTAGCATAAATTAGAATAAAACAGTCTGATTTTGCTGATCTCTTTGCCTCTAAGCAATCCTATAAAACTAAACTTTAAATCTCTTTAAAATAGAGAAACTGGTGACAAAAGTATTCTTTTCTACTGCATAGTTTTCCTTGACTTTCTGGTATACCCTAAAACATCCTTAGGGATAAATCTTTATTTTCTTCAATAGACCTCACTATTAAAAGTTAAACTTTTTCCTCTATGAAATATATTCAATACTAATAACAGGTCATTTTGGCCTTGCCCTTGGGTATTTTGCTAAGTCATGCATTTAGATGTTTTTTTTTCAAACTCCTTTATAAATTAATTCTTTACAAACCAATATAATATATCCAGTGCTAATTTCTATTACAATTTATAAATTCCTTCACAAAGAAAGTGTCACTAAAGTCAGACAATGTCTTTGTATGTCTTCTGCATCATGCAATACCAAAACTTTCTTATCAATTAGATCATTTTGTTCCACATTCATTGCCATATAAGTGCAAATTTGTACTAGTCTGGGAGGGTTATGAATAACTTGACAAAGTTGTAACTTATAGATTGGTGAGTTTTCCTTCTATCTGAAAATGGTTCAAGTGTATGAAGCGCCCATAAGCTTCTAATACTGTGTACAAACCATCCACCTGGACTGCCTCTGTGTAGTAAACATGCACCAACATGCTCTGAACGTCTCTTACATGTTGGTCATTGTCTACTTTCAGGGAGCCTGCCATTCCAAGGTAGGGCCAGATAACTTGTATCACCAGACACCCCCGCTATTAGGGTACACCTATGTGATCTACACTCTGCTACTCACAAGTACCTGAGCAGACTTGGGTTCTGAAGGTTATAGACACACACTTCTGAGCATGTGATAATTGACATTCTGGCAGCTGTGATGGGGGTGGCACCATGTTTCATGCAGGTAGCAGTGGCAGAGCTTCTGACATCCAGAACTGAGTATCATGGAAGCCAAACTGTAATGAGGTACCATTTCCCCCACAAAGGCCCTTTGGGTTAACTAAGAATTGTCCCTAAATTAGTGGCTCAAGAGTCTGGTTTTCATACCCTCCTGGAGAGCCATAAGTTAAAAATGACCTTTTATAAATTACTTTACTGGTTAAACTAAATGTTTTTTGCAATGCAAAACACTTTTATAGTTAGTTATTAAACAAATAATTAATCATAAAATATCATATTTCTATGCAAAATAAACTGATCTTGTTCATTTCAACATGCTAAACTTTAAACACTAGACATGTTTTGCATTCTAGGGGATATGGTGACCTAATCTTAGTAAGTGAATAGATTTTCACATCTTTCTTTGTTTATACATTTGGTGCATATATTTTTGAGTTGTTGAAAGGAGGTTGTGTTTATAGGCATACTTTTTATTACTGGTATTTCAATTTAATACAATACAGTGGAAAATGCAACTGGCCTGCCTAATACAATCACCCTAAACACTAAGGCATTCATTCTGTGAGCGATTATTGAATGCTTTCTACATACAAACAGTAGCAAATATGAAATGCATGAAATTAATAATAGGAGATAGTCTCAGTTTTCAAGCTCTCACTATCACAGTTTCCTTGGATTAAAAATGGCATCCAAACTAGAAAAGTTTTCATTATGCCTCTACAATTTCTACTTATTTCTCAAATTAATTGCTCTTTCCATAGAACTTATTTATTACTAAGGCTATCCAAGGAAAATAACCTGTTCTGTTCCTGTAGGCCTCACTGGTAGTATCACAAAACTGTGTGTTATATTTCAAAACAATATTACTATTCATCTCCCATGGACCATATTAACATAACTGTCCTTTGGGGAAACAACCAAATAAATCACTTATATATCTCCAACCATGGTCATTTGTCTTACAAGAATCCCAGAGCCAGCCACCCATCCTACTCTCATCCTAACCAAACCTTGCTTTGTGGCATCAATAACTAATTACATTAAAGTTCTGCCTAAGTAACATAGATTGATAGTTTCATTATAGCATTTAATTAGAATTGTTTTTAATTTTTCAGGAAAGAAATGGTGTAATAGGTGAAAGAACAGCTGTTGTAGGTCACATGGAAAGAATATGATGGAGTAACAAAAAATAAACTTCGCTAGAAAAGCCAAGTGGCATTTAAGTGTTTGGGAATGCCTTATGTGAAGGGAAGGAAGTCAGCCATCTGTCATATTTCATCTAATCAATGTCTCCGAACTTTATCACTTAATGTTACTTGTGTGGCATGCACAGGCAAGGGCAAGAGGAAGTACTTGCAGAAACAAGGTCTGCTCTGGCTCAATAAATTCTGTTTCCTATAACATGGCACCACCTTAGCTTCTAGGAATACGAAGGGGATCTTTGATCCCTAATGTAGCCCCTTTTTGGACAGAAACTAAAAATCTTCAGGTATGAAACAAACTTGTAACAGGTATGACTATTTTTTTCATTAAAGGGATAACTGGAGTAAAATTCTTGCCATGCTTTAAACTGATGTTAAACTGATTTCCTCTTTAAAGATGGAAAACTGCTCAGGTACGGTGGCTCGTGCCTGTAATCCCAGCACTTTGGAAGGCCAAGGTGGGTGGATCACCTGAGCTCAGGAGTTCGAGACCAGCCTGGGCAACATGGCAAAACCCTGCCTGTACAAAAAATACAAAAACATAGCTAGGCATGGTGGTGAGTGCCTATAGTCCCAGCCACTTGGGAGGCTGAGGTGGGAGGATCACTTGAGCCTGGAAGGCAGAGGTTGCAGTGAGCCAAAATTGCACCACTGCACTCCAGCCTGGGTGACAGAGTGAGACCCAGTCTCAAAACAATAATAATAATAATATTTATAAAAATCAAGATGGAAAAGTGTGACACACACACAAACACATGTTGTATATATCTTTAAGGAATTTTTTTCATGTAATTGTGGGAACTGGCAAGCCTAAACTGGTAGCAGCCTGGCAGGCTGGAAACTCAGGCAGGATTTGTATGTTGTCTTGGTATAGAATTTCTTCTCCAGAAAACCTCCCTGTTTGCTCTTAGGAACTTCAACTGATAGGAGAAGTCCTATTCACATTATCAAGGTTAATCTCCTCTACTTAAAGTCAACTGATTGTAGATGTTAATGACCTCTACAAAATACCTTCACAGAAACATCCAGACTAGTGAAACAACTGGAACCATAACCTCATTAAGTTGATGTAAAATTTAATCATCACACCCCTTAAAAAAAGAACCCTCCACGGTTTGTTTTCAGACATCTACCTTCAGCCCTCTTGGACAAGAATGGCATGTACCTGCATAAGTGTCATCTCTCTGTCTTCACATACACGAGGAACACACTCTATCAATTATGGTACTTCTTTCCAATGAGTACAGAAATACTTCTTAACCCAGTGTTCCAAATGCCACTTCCATTTTCCAGAGCTAGCATGCAAAATAAAACATATTGACTCTCCCTTCCTAAGCAATTTAGTCACCTTGTGTTCTTAGCCTTTGCCTCTCTGCTGATTGTTACGGTGTAGTTGGGAGCTGGATATTAAATATATTTGAATAGTTTTTTTTAAAAGGCTTTAGTTAGAGATGAAAGCAAGAAAAAAACACAATGGGATTAAGACTCAATGCTGGTACAGTAGGATGAGAGGAGCCAAATGATAATGTGTCATAAGTCAAATAATACAAAGGGAAGTTAAAGCAGGTGAGAGACAGGAAGAAGAGCTGGGGAATTGTTCCTCTTAATGACAAGAGAAGAGCCAAAATTTCATGAACCAAAGGAGACCAGAGTGTGTCAACAGAGGGTTTTGAGGGCAAACCCAAAGTGAGTGTTTGGATGGTGAGGATGTTCTGAGTATATTAAGAATCCAACCTGAATTTTAAAGTTATGTTCTCTGCAGTTGAAGAGCCACTATAGTCTTTGGTGGAATGGGGCAACCAATGTTTCCTAAACCTTACCCAGCTGGGCACAGTGGCTCATGCCTGTAATCCTAGCAATTGGGGGGGCCGAGGCAGGCAGATTGCCTGAGCTCAGGAGTTCAAGACCAGCCTGCGCAACATGGTGAAGCCCCGTCTCTACTAAAACACAAAAGAAATTAGCCAGGTATGACAGCATGCACCTGTAGTCCCAGCTACTCAGGAGGCTGAGGCAGGAGAATTGTTTGAACTCAGGAGGCGGAGGTTGCAGTGAGCTGAGATTGTGCCACTGCACTCCAGCCTGGGCAACAGAGTGAGACTCCATCTCTAAAAAAAAAAAAAAAAAAAAAACCTCATGTGTCCTAGTCTTCACAGTACAGCCTAAAACCTGACACAGGTTTCTGGGCTTCCTGGTCAATGTGGGTGAGTACCGTGACACAGTTCTTCTGCTTCCAATATAGAGTTCAATTAGGAGTCCTCTGGAAGGCAGTATAAGAAGACTGATCATTATATAATTCCAAACTGCAGATCTAATGGTCATCTCTCTCAATATACTGCATTGAATTTTATTAGGTTTAATAGATATTTTATCAATCATGTATACAATCATATTTTTATCCTAACGTTTATATTTTGTTTTATTTCTCCTTATGATTTCAATAATCACCAATTTCATTCAATCAAATGCCAGGGTAATCTTTGCCCCCAAATCTTGCTCATGCACAGTGTCAAAGCACAAAGTCTTATCCCTTCTCTCTATCCCTTTCCTTTGTCCCCGGTTCTCTCTGTTCACTTATTCTTTCACTAGATTTGTATCTTTATTTAAGATCTCTTTAGAGACTTCCTTGCTTCCATCTTTGCAACTCTAACATATATATTTCCCCTTTCAGTAGATTAGAATCATGAAAACATGATTCTGGTAATACTCATTTCATCAATGTCTTTCTATGAGTCCCATAATCCTACAGAGTAGGATCCAAATTCCGTGACTTAGCATTCATTCTCTTCTATAATTTACATACAGCCTATCTTTTTAATATTGTCCTCAACCATAATTCTACTGTGAACTTCATAATTCATGAAATTGCCATTTCCAGAAAACGTCTGACTTTTTTTTTTTTTTTAATTTTCAGGCCATTCCACATGTATTCTGCCCACTAGTTGGTTTCCATCTTTCTGTTTGTCCCTTTTTCAAACCTGGGCTATAAAACTACCTCCTTTACAAAAATCTTCCCTGATGTGTTACTACTGGGAATTCCTTTTCTTTTTGATGAACCACTACATCACTTGTAGTATATAGCATTTGATTATAATTACTTAGGAATAGACTGTATTCCCTCACTCTATAAACTCCTTGATGGTAAGAATTTGTTTTACTCATTTCTCTTTTGCTAATAGTGGCTTTGATAAACTAGATGCACACTGTATTTTGTAAATGAAATAATACATTGAAGAATGAGTCAATCCCTGGAGCAAATTCATTCTTGAGTCATCATCTCTCCTAATCCATGTGAATAAAACACTTGGTTAGCAGAGATAATTACAATTTCAAGAAAATCTCTCAACTTCACAGTATACACCTAATAAATCATTTTTCTGAAGCAAACTGTAAGTATCAGAAATATTAATATGAGTTATTTCCTTCACTTCCTTCATCTAGTCTAATTTATTCTTTCATTCACCAAACATTTACTGTGTTTTTAATATATGCTGTCATAACGCTAGAAATTAGAACTGTAGAGAACATAATTCCTACCTTCAAGAGGCTTTCTACTAGAGGCAATAGAGATGTTAACTTTAGCATAATTAAAGTATAGTATGACAAGTGTTCTAGCAGAGAAATAAATGTGGCCTTGGAAGGCAAAAGAGGAGTCACTAAGCCAAATCAAGATTCAGTAAAGAATTCACCAAGACAGTAAAGTCTGAGTTGAATTTCTAAGGGAAAATTTAAGTTGCATAAATGGACACCTTTGGAGGAGGTAGTCCTCCAGGGAGAACCTCACATGTGAAGGCACAGGGGCAAGGGCAAGCAGTACGGGCTCTATGACTTCAAGGAATGAACTCACAGAAGACAATACTAGAGTGGTGTGTTAAGTTTTTGATGGCCATTGTAACAAGTTAGCATAAACCTGGTGGCTTAAAACAGCATAAATTTATTCTCTCACAGTTCTGGAGGCCAGAATTTGGAAATCTGTTTCAATGAGCTGAAATCAGGGTGTGGTGTCAGCGGAGCCACACTCCCTCTGGAGGCCCCAGAGGAAACCTGTTTCCTTGCCTCCCTCAGATTTCAGGGGCTGTCCCCATTCCCTGACTTGTGCCTGCATGCTTCCAAACTCTATTTCCATCATCATGCTGCCTCCTTCTCCTCTGTGTGGTGGTCTAATCTTGGTCTACTTCTCTCTTATAAAGATGCATGTGATGCCTTTTAGGACCCACCTAAATTATCCAGGATGATCTTCCCATCTCAAGATCCTTCACTTAATCACATCTACAGAGAACCCACCTTTCTTCCTAAATATTATTTTTTTTTTTTGAGATGGAGTCTTGCTCTGTCACCCAGGCTGGAGTGCAGTGGCACGATCTCGGCTCACTGCAAGCTCCACCTCCCAGATTTACGCCATTCTCCTGCCTCAGCCTCCTGAGTAGCTGGGACTTCAGGCATCCGCCACCACGCCCGGCTAATTTTGTGTATTTTTCGTAGAGATGGGGTTTCCCCATATTGGCCAGGATGGTCTCGATCTCCTGACCTCATGATCCGCCCACCTCGACCTCCCAAAGTGCTGGGATTACAGGCAGAGTCACTGCACCCAGCCTCCTCTCAAATATTGTAGTACCTGGATTGCTTCCAAATACATGAAAGCACAGGTAAATGCTCACATTCCTCTAAAGAAGGAAATTAATTGAAATATTGGCAATACCTTGACATCATACTGGAGTAAAAAACTAAAGCTCTCATCCAGAAACAAATTTATTTCATCATTAGAGAAAAGGGAACAATTTACATGGTACCTTAGATAAAAAAGGAAAATGAGAGAGGAGAAATAACAGGACAGTGGGCTCAGGGGAGAGAAATCAGGATTATAGTAAAGTCTGTGTATCAGCCAAGATGCTATAAGTAATATGGGAACAGAATTTAACATAGGAATTAGAATTTGGACAACTGTGGAATAGCTGAGGAAGTGAATGTCTGGAAAGGTGACTGAAACGATTAGGGAAACCTTAATAAATCAGTTTGTCTGAAGTACTGATGTGGATGGAGTGGGGTCCAAGCACATGTGGCTTTTGAAATGAAACACGAAGATCAAGCTAAGTAGAGGTCTGTGGACCCTGCTTCTTCTGGGGGAAGCCCTTGACTTCAACTAGCGACATCCTCAGTGGGCCCACAGATATTGATCTGATGGTGGGCTTGGAGCCACAGTTGTGAACAGAACCAACAATTGAGTAAACAAGTGGATGCACAGAAAAATGAAGACAAGCTGGGATGCTCAGGGCACCTCTTTGTATACCTGTCACCATCTATCTTAGTCCATTTTCTGCTGCTATTTTAAAAAAATACCAAAGACTTGGTAATTTATTTTTTTAAAAAAGAGATCTATTTGGCTCATAGAGGCTTGAAAGCCCAAGATCATGGCTCCAGCATCTGGAAAGATTTATCCCATAGTGGAAAGGCATCACATGATGAAAGAGCATGTGAGACAAAGAAAGAAAATCAGGTTGAACTCATCCTTTTTATCAGGAACCCATTCTCACAATAACTCACTCATTCCCACCATAATTAACCATTCCATGGAGGCAGAGCCCTCATGATGTAATCACTTCTTAAAGTTCTCATTTCTTAATACTGCTACAATGGCAATAAAATTCCAACATGAGTTTTAGAGAAAATATTTAAACCATAGCACCCTCTGACTACAACAATCTTCTAAGAACACGGATTTCAGCTTCAACTCCCTTTAAATTCAATTCACCTTTAAATCCCATGCAATTTCTTCTTTTGGCAAACTATTACTTTATGGTTTGCTTTACTTGATAACAGAAAGGGTTTTTTCTTCTCTTGTTTAGTTGATCATGGCTAAAATTAGAGATCCCTCGTCATAACTAAACTGACACAACACATTCCAGTAGAGCCTATCCTTTTGTAGATGTGCAAAAGGAATCCCAAATAATTTCTTTGAGTGAAATTTTTATGCGTCTCAAGAGAAAGGGTGATTTCACATCTGGGTCAAGATAGGAAAGTACAGAGTAGCATTCATGGAAGAGGCAGGAGGCAAATAAAATGCTGAGAATAAAACTTCTCCCCCAGATTCATTAATATCTTGAAGAGCTTCTACAGCCACAGGAGACTAAGTCAATTTATCTTAATCTTGACAGACAAAAAGGCTTCCCTCTAACATGTTGCATTATAATTTATCAGATTCTATAAGTCAGGAGCTTAGGAGAGAAATTCAAGGTGATTCTAAGCATTCACAGCATTAAGTCTCTGGAAATACTCCCCCAAATCTTTTTTCCCCTATTGGATTTATTTCTTTTTGCTTTAGTTGATACTCAAAAAGATTTGGTTATTTCTTTTTTCATTGGGTCAATCTGTTAGTCTGACTTCAAACTCTCAGAATTTTGGATTAGTTGCTTTTAGAGACTCAGAGGACAAATCCTGTCTTTGTCTTTTAGTGGGATGAGAAATTCTTCTCTGAGCTCACAAAGAGCAAGATTAGATTATCAATTCCTAGTGTCTCCTATTATAGTTCATGCTGCAGGAAGCAGTTCCAGAGAGTTTGTTAACCTGGTCTTTGTTCAATTAGGTGCTTGACTTGTGTCCTTAAGAACCTAATGTGTATGTACACCCAGGACTATGAAAATCTATTTGAATTCCTATAGGAGTTTCATGGTCTTCAGATCTCATGGTCTCTCAGAGAGGCACCTCATACGTAAGAGGTAACTGGTACCAGTTAACATAGACAAAAGTCTCAGTTCCATGAGTATGAACTCATGGATCATTTTGATGTGAATAATCTCATCTTATCATTAGTAAATATAAATATATATGTGTGTGTGTGTGTGTGTGTGTGTGTGTATGTGTGTGTGTTATGTATATATAACACAGCAACTGATGTTTTACAAACTGCTTTTGCAAGCATTTGTGTTTTACAGCAGTGTAATCACCAAGGGGTCCTTTGTGCCAGCTGCCCAGATAGAGCTGATTTATCATGACAGAGGAATTGCAGTAGAAAAAATGTTTAATTCACACAGAGCCGGCTAAATGGGAGACTGGAGTTTTACTATTTCTCAAATCAGTCTCCCCCAAAATTCGGAGATTGGGAGTTTTTAAGGATAATTTGGTCAGTAGGGGGCCAGGGAGTGGAGAGTGCTGATTGGTTAGGTTAGAGATGAACTCATAGGGAGTTGAAGCTGTCTTTATGTGCTGAGTCCATTCCTAGGTGGGGCCCACAAGACCCGATGAACCAGTTTACACATCTGGGTGGTGGGTGGTGCCAGCTGATCCATGGAGTGTAGGGTCTGAAAATATCTTGAGCATCAGTTTTAGGTTTTACAATACTAACGCTATCCCCAGGAGCAACTGGGCAGGTTTAGAATCTTGTAGTCTCCAGCTGCAAATCTCTTACACCATAATTTCTAATCTTGTGGCTAATTTGTTAGCCTTACAAAAGCAGTTTGGTCCCCAGGCAGGGAGGGAGTTTGTTTCAGGAAAGGTTGTTAACATCTTTGTTTCAAAGTTAAACTCCAAACTAAGTTCCTCCCAAAGTTAGTTTGGGTTACGCCCAGGATTGAACAAGGAAAGCTTGGAGATTAGAAGCAAGATGGAGTGGGTTAGGTCAGATCTCTTTCAGTGTCATAATTTTCTAAGTTATAATTTCTGCAGAGGCAATTTTGACACTGCTTCATGGTAGACAAGGTAAAAATGTTATTCCTATGTTAGTGATAAGAAAACTGGAAAACAGAAAAGTGAAGGCTCTTCCTTAAGTTAGTATAGCCAATGAGGATCAAAGCAGATCTTAAATTATTTCCGGTCTACACTTGAATGGACATAACTATCTTTTCAAGAGTTGAAAATAAATTTACAAGAAATATCACATTCAATGTCCCAGTACTATCTGGGGAAAAAAGGGGAAGATATTTATCTTTCACTAAATAGAAAAACCAAGTCCTTGGAGGCTAAGTGCGCAAAGATGCTGTATTAGTCTGTTCTCTTATTGCTATAAAGAACTACCTGAGACTGGGTAATTTGTAAAGAAAAGAAGTCTAATTGGCTCATGGTTTCGCAAAATGTACAGGAAGCATGGCCACGGAAGCCTCAGGAAAGTTACTATCATGGTGGAAGGCAAAGAGGAAGGAGGGATGTCTTACATGCCCTGAGCAGGAGGAAGAGAGAGAGAAGGAGGAGGTGCTACATGCTTTTAAACAACCAGATCTCGTGAGAACTCATTCACTATCACAAGAACAGCAAGGGAGAAATCTTCCCCCATGACCCAACCATCTCCCACCAGGCCCCTCCTCCAACAATTTGGATTACAATTCAGTAAGATTTGGGCAGAGACACAAATCAAAACCATATCAGACACTTAGCCAGTCAGATGCAAATAAGACCCCAAAATATCATATCTGAGCTCTCTCTCAGACCCTTATTTCTGATCAAACCAAATAAAACATTAGGGAAGTGTGGAAAGCAATAAGACATTTATTCCAAAGTAAACAGCCCGTATACCCTGCCTCTAGTGAGGGAGACTGCCTTCTTAACTTTAATTGATAACTTAAAATTCCTAGTCAGCCAAATTACATTGATTTTATTGCATATTTCAAGATATCATAATGATAATTTATCTTCTAGAAAACAATACAGTTCGTTGTTATAACCAGAGAGGCAAGGAGCTAAGTTTGTGCTTGGTGAATTATAACCAATGGGTGCCACTAACCTTCAAATGTGCTATTACATTATTTAACTTTTAGACAGATCTAATAGAGGCCTTGATTATTAATATGATTTTAATATCTGATAGTTCAAGAGGGTAATAATGTTGTAGAGCTAAGACAGGAGGAAAAGGTAAAATTACCATCACTACTGGTGATTCACTGCTGGTATATGATGCTAAAAATATGCTTTATTACTTGATTTTAACTTAATAATTCAGAAGAAAAGGTAACAATTCAGAGAGTCAGCAAATGGAGAGTGACTAAATTCTCTCTTTTTTTAATAGAATTTAATAAAATTGAAATTTGAAGGTGTTTCAATTATCCAGAGGACGAGATGTTTGTTCACCAAACATCTGCTGAACAGCTACCATGTGCAAGGCCCTAGACTAGTAATCCAATCTCTAAAACTCCCTTTCCTCAGGTGCTCTCAGTTTAACTGAGGAGTAACATGGGAAAGAATAAATCACGTGGCCAGGCGTGGTGGCTCACTCCTGTAATCCCAGCACTTTGGGAGGCTGAGACAGGTGGATCACGAGATCAGGAGTTCAAGACCAGCCTGGCCAACATAGTGAAACCCTGCCTCTACTAAAAATACAAAAATTAGCTGGGCATGGTGGTGCGTGCCTGTAGTCCCAGCTACTTGGAGGCTGAGGCAGGAGAATCACTTGAACCAGGGAAGTGGAGGTTGCAGTGAGCCGAGATTGTGCCACTGCACTCCAGCTTGGGTAACAGAGTGAGACTGCATCTCAAAAAAAAAAAAAAAGAAAAAAGAAAGAAAAGGAATAAATCACGTTGTACTATATGCTACCATATAGAGGAGAGAATTGCTTTCTCTTCCTGGATCAGCCCAGGAAATCTCACAGAAAAGGTGAAAGTAAGTGAAGTGAGTAGTTCCTTTATGTAAAAAAGAAAGCAAAGCGAAAGAAGGATAAGTGTCCGTGTGCCTGGCCCTGTGTCAGAAGATGCATATATAAGGCAGGGGTTTTTTCTGTGTTGCTGGACTGTTGTAGCCCCTGACTGACCTGCTGATGTCACTCAATAAACATTTATTGGGCAGAGAAATGAACCCTAGTTACAAGGATAACAGAATGTGAGAATTGTTTTTACCTTGACTCATGTTTGACCATAATTTTGCATTTGTCTGCTTTCTGATTCAGGTTCACAGTTCATTATTAGCAATGCCAAAATACAAAAACTTCTGAAAACCAAAAGTATTTTCCTAACTCATTTGGTGTCAAAATATAACCTGACTTGATCTCATTTAGTGGAAAAACCTGACCTGGAGTGACAGAAGACTATTTTTAATCTAAATTTACTCTAATTAGTGGGAATATTTACTGAGAAAGTAATGGTGTTTGGCAATGTGGTGCTGCCCCAGACCTTGCTGGGGGTGTTATATAATATGCATTACATGTACTACTTTAGCACCTTTTCAAGATCTGAAAAATGTTGAATTACAAAACACATTTGCCCCAAGAGTTTTAGATAAAGGACTGTAGACCTGTAAAACATTACAAATAAGCCTGATGAAATTCACAGATCCTATCAGCTTTTCTTCTTTACCTCCTTCTGGCTTATTGTTCAGGGTTTGTCTTACACCAATCTCAGTGTGGGTTGTTGTGTGGCCTTACTGTGGCCCCAGATAATCGCTGCCCCATGTATGTGCTCCACTCTAGTCCAGCCACTGTTTGTGGCTGACCCTACCAGGGGCCCTGTATGAGTTTCAAATGTCCAAAGACATTTTGCACACCTGACCCTGATGTATTGTCACCATTTTAGGGGCCATATAAGTATGGCTATAGAACTGTCATTTGGTCCCAAGCCGATGGTTAAACTCTGAGGCCAAATCATCTTTCCTGTCCCTCAATCCCTCAAGCCATTGCACTCCTCTCACACAAAATATGTTACTAAAACCAGCATTGTCTCAGATACTGAAATTAATACTAGTTAGATATTCTCTAAGAATTTAGCCACAAGCTACAGATAATCTTTAATGGTAACAGAGGCAAGGTTCACCAAATGGAAAGAGAAAGTAGAGTAAGAAATTACCTTCACCTGATGTGAATGGACTATTTTTGGGTGCCTCCAAAACTGTAAAGCTCAATACACTAAAGGAAAAAGTACAAAGAAGCAAGGAAACCAAGTCAAAGACATTGTCTACTGCAAACCTTGCCAAGGAGAAACTCTGAACTCAACAATAAAGACATTCTGCTTGTTCTGAGCACCGAATATGTATTAGATGCTGCAGCCAATGATTTGTTGTCTCATAGAATCCTCACAATAACCAGTAAGATAAGTTTAGATACCTTTATTTTACAGAGAAGGAGAAAGGCATATTATGGTTGAAAAACTTCCCCTAAAGACACAGACCTTGGACAAGGCAGACCTGGGAGTAGGTTTGTTCCCTGTACTATTCAGCTCTGCCTCACACAACTCTGTGCTTAAAACCACATGCAAAAGGATGCTGGCCTTGACAAAGAAAAGGACCCTTACTCTTTACTTCTAGGAATGTATAAGATACCCATCTCATCACTGATTAGTAGTAATCAATAATGAATTGTAAATAGGTGATGGTCTTATCCATAGGTTCATCTGATTTATTATTATTGATAGCAATAGCAGTGGCATGTTGAGCAGCTACCAGAGCCTGAGCCTCGTGCTGAGCACTGATCACGAATCATCTTCTCATTCACCCTGCCAGGAAGGCATTATAATCTCTGAGATTCAGAGAACTTGAGTAACTTGCCTGTGATTCCTCTTCTAGCAAGTGGAGGACAAGAGATTTAAATACACAATTATCTAAACATATGCTGAAGCATGAGCTAAAACACATGCTCTTTCCACACATCATGCTGTAACACTTTGAAATAAGAATCTATTGTTGGCATTGAATCCTAAGAGCCATATCTTTTTCACAGCACTCACCCTTGAGCCATTATTGCAGGAAGATGGAAGGGTCATAGTACCACTACATTTTCCCTGTCCTAAGAAAGAAGAAACACAGAAGCACATATGGACTTTGGAGTGCCCTAGGATGACCACCTGTGACTCACCATACTCTGAGAATGCAATCTCACTTCAGAAATAAGAAGACAAAATTATTTAAATAATTATACTGTAATCCACTCACTCTTCCCGCACATTGAGAAATCCATCTGTGAGCTGCTTGAGTTCAGCCAGCTCTCCCACCTGTACAGCACTGAGGCCATACTGCACCTAGCTGTGGACAGGCCACCTGGTTTTTTTCAAGTGATGTGATTTTTCAAACCTTGCTCACCTATTACAAGACAGCATGGATGATAGGGCACGCAGACATAGAGAAATTACCCCTACTCTTCTCCTGGGAAAATATTGCAGTAAGAATATTATCTTCTAGCTGTAATACAGGATGGAGTTAAAAAAGAGGGCTATGCCATTAGCACAGAGCTCTGCATCTTTCCAAGCCTTCTTCCTACAGCCATATTCTCCATGACCTAGGAGGTGCCCCTTCATATTGCAACCCCAGCACCTAAGAACTGGATAATTCAGTGATTTTCAACCAGGGAAAATAGGCTCTACCCCACCCCTGGATAGTAGTGTTGATGGAGGAGTTTAGAAATGCGTGTGGGGTATGAGAAGTGCAGTTATGGTGACATGAATTGGAGAGCTGGTCTGTCTTTTAGTTAAGGGAAACCAGAAATATGTGAGCCTGTTGCACAAAATATCAAGACCAATTCTTCTGTTGGGAGAATAGACACTGTCAGCCATAGAACTGTCATTTGGTCCCAAGCCTATGGTTAAACTCTGATGTCAAATCACCTTCCCTGTCCCTCAATCCCTCAAACCATTGCACTCCTCTCACACAAAATGTGTTACTAAAACCAGCATTATCTCAGATATTGAAATCTGAGAATATCTACTTAGATATTCTCTAAGAATTTAGCCACAAAAGATAAATAGTGGAGGGAAAGAAAGTAAATGGGGAAAATAATACAATAATTCTTAAAGTTACAGATAATCACATTTCTTGATTTTTAAATACAACTTTAGAAAAACTAGGAATCAAGCTAGACTAATATAAAAAATAATGTTGTTTATCATTGTCCCATGGTTATATTTCTCTCATGCTCCCCTCACTCTACATCTTTAACCCCAAATTTAATCATTGACAGAAATAGATGGTTAGGATATGACCGCTTAATTATCCGGTTCTGCACCAAGTGGGGTATTTTTTTGGCTAAGTGTACGAATGTACAATGTATTGCAGGTGTCACCACACAATGGTGTTCAGGAAATTCAACCATAGCCTGTTTTTGTATGAGCGGGAAGCTAACAGTGGCTTCTACATTTTTAAAGGGTTGTTAAGAAGAAGGAAGAAGAGGAGAAAAAGAAAGAAGAGGAGGAGGAGGAGGAGAAAAATATTTGATGGAGATCACATGTGGCCTCACATAGCCTAGAATATTTACCATATAGCTTTTTACAGGAAAAATGTTCTGACCCCTGTCTGCATTAATAATTTTTAACTCAAGCATTTTGAGACCAGGGATAGTGATAAGGCCTCACCTGAGAAAACATTGATCAGTCCCAGCACAAAGCAAAGAGGCTCCTAACTGAGGATATATTTTTAATAACAAAGATGTAGAAAAGGCAGCTCCTAACTTGCCAATCCTGTATGTGGTCTGGAAGCAGATATCAAACGTAGATCCCCGTGCGCCTTACTGAAGCATCAGGTCTTGCTGCCTGTTCAAAAGAATGCCCTCATTTTGGCTTAAGGTCATTAGCAATAGCTCCCAGGTCTTTACTAATGTGTTACCGATTCAGGGGCCCAAATAGTCATCTGGAGCTCTATCCCTCCTACCTCAGTTTCCATTAATTCTTTGCTATTAAGTAGCAAATAAATTAGGCAAATATTGCCAAGAAGGGGATCATGAAGATTATAATTAACAAAAGAGACAGTTGGAGGATTTACAGCAAAGGCTGGTTCTAGTCAAGTTTCACTGGGAAAGAGCATCATCTCTATCTCATTTGCCAGTAATTAGCTCTGCCTTTATTGCATTGTAAATACTGCTTTAATTACTGCACTCCTTAGTTCAGAAGACGGAACTCAGTATCCTTATTGGATTTCATGTTCTGGCAGTCCCTCAGAGCTTTTGCTGTGCACAATAGATGTATGCAAATGCAACTGGTAATGGCAATGTGAAAGGATTACAAGGAATAGATTTGAACAATGTGGGTCACGCACAGTTCTGGAGAAGGAATTGCCTGCGACCACCCTCCCCCCTTCATTATAATCCTGATCCCCCTTACTCTGGAGTCTCAGGAAGAATTAACCAACATAGATAAGGCAACTCTGTTGGGATAACATTTGAAAAGGCTTAACTAAGCCAGTGGAGATAACCATCTTTAGGACTTCCAGGCTACAGAAAGAAAGTGGTCATTAATTAGGCATTAGTAGCATCAGCTAGGAAATGAACCATGAGGTACAGGGGCCAGAGCCAGAGGACTCAGGCTTGAGGCTCAGCTCATCCATTAACTCACAGGGTGGTTTGGGTAAATCATTTCTCTTTGAAACCTTAACTTTCACCATTGAAAAATGGGGAGTTATATTAAGTGGTTGCATGTAACTCCAGATCAAAAATTGCATGGATTTATATATTTTATTTTGAAAGACATTTTAAAACACATCTATTTTAATTCTGTGTGGCAGATTTCACTGGTGCCACATGATACTCCCTAAGGCCACCTTTGATTTCAGTTGCTACTATGGTAGACAGTTCTATGAAAGTTTATGCTTCCTTTGCATTGTCAATTGCCGATCAAGTGTATCCCTTGCTTTTCCATATTCTGCTCCAGGGTCAGCTCTCTGAGCACCACATGAGTGGAGCTCCTGAGGGCAACACTCAATGAAAAGGAGGCAGGACTAGATGGACAAGTGTACCATTCTCCTATCTTTCATCCTGGAAAATATTTGGGATGCTCCTGAGGAGTCCCAGAGGAATTCAACTCTGTTGCCTATAAGAGTGACCTCACTATTGTTCCCTTTTATTGGCTTTTCTTCCTTCCTTGCTTCTTCACACCTGCTTCCAAGGTTTAACTCCTAATAAAATCTTCCCGCCAAGGTGCTTGTTTCAGACTCTGCTTTCAGGGAACACAAACTAACACACTTTTTTAGTTTAATGACAGAGGAATTAAGGTGAAAAGAGAATGATGTAACTAGACCAAGGTCAGTGTTTAATCTAGTGTTCTTTCCACTGCCCTATTTATAGAAGGACAGTCCACATGGTTGAAAAATATACACAGAAGAGACTTACTGGGCTTCCTTCTTAACATCTCATCAAAAAAGATACAACCAGCCAATAGAGAAATATTAACAAACCACGTGATATAAAAGTTAAGACTCATCACAGATGAAGGAGATTTTCAATAACAAAAAGAGAATAAGAACACATTTTTTGGCATCAAATGGACCCAGATTTGAACCCTAGCTGTCATTTAGTAGCTGTGTGATTTTATTGTATAAGCTTTCTGAACTTTATTTTGCTTGCCTATAAGATGTCACAAATAATAATACCTAAAATATAATAACCTCCCAATAATTATATTATCATAAACATTGTCCTTGCCAAACAAAAAAGAAAATGATCAATACTGTGAATGATAACTGTACTCAAAACTTTAGATTTTAGTTAATCTGTGCCCTTTCCAAACAACAGCCTGATACAAGTGTTTTTTCCCCCTCCTTTCTGATTATTGAGGCACAAAGACACAGCAAAACACAAATGAAAGAGAAACACTGAAAACTGTATATTCTTTCTTCTCTAGGACTTTGACAGAGGCTCTTTGATGATATTTGGCACTAATCTTCTCCACCCTTTTGTGTTATAGATTGACATTCTCATATTCGATGAAGACTGAGACAGAGATCCATCCTTCCTGGCTCTCCATTTTTCTAAGCCACCTGTGCCAACTGGTAGGGAACACATTCCAGATTCTGCAGAATTAGCAGGCAAGCATCCAGTGATGAATACACAGGAATGCAAAGCCACATCAGGAAATCATCCAATCTCAAGGGCCTTAAATGTCATCAGATCTTCACTACAGTAACCCTGCCAATTGGTAACCCTGCCTCTCCTGAATATTGTCACATTCCAAGACAGACTATTCCATATTTCGACAGCTCTGACTTTTAGAAATCATTTCTTTATACTCATCCAAAATATTTTCTCTGTGGTTCACATTCATCATCTGTCAGAATTCTAATCTAGAACATCATTTTAAACAAAAGCTAATCATTTTGCCATATGGCGACCCTGGAAAAAAATTGGAAATCTCAGCCACATCTGCTCTTGGTTGCCACTTCTTCTGAAACCCCACATCTTTCCTTAGTTCTTCACTTATTTTCCACTGCTCAGGGAAATCAGAGAAGTAACTTGAAAAAATCTGAATACCTAACCTTTTTTGAAATTAAAACAAATAATAATAACACGGCTTTATTTGTAAACAAATCATTGAGAGTTGACCATCTGATCAAATAGGTCCATAACTACATTTTACTTACAAGTCAGATGTTCAGATAGGAAGCACATGGATTTTGGAGTCAGGACAATATATATTTGAACCTCAGCTCTGCCACTTATTAGCTGAGTGACCTAAAACAGATGACTTCACCTCTCTGGGCCTCAGTTTCCTTATCTGTCAAGTTGACTGACAACACCTGTCTCAAAGAGTTATTGTGAGGATTAAATGAGAGAAATAATGGGAATATGTTCAGTATGTAGCCTGGCCACACAGTACAGTAAAAAGAAAATGAGTTTGAAGCACATGAAAGAGTTGAAATCCTGGCTGTGCTATTGTTTATCTATGAAAATTTGTAGGAGAAATCCAGGTATTCTAAGTCTCCTTTTCCTTATTTGTCACGTGGAAAATAACACTGAATTTAAAACTTGCATTGCATAGATTTAAAATATTATTTGCAAATGTCTAACATAGAGTCTGTTTTTCAGTTATCTTTATTTTTACAAACTTATAAAAGTTTCTTTTTTCCTTCACTTCCACAGAATCTTATTAGAACATGTAAACCAGGGTAATCTCCTAATTCTAAGTTTTTACTGAGGTGGGAGTGACAGGAATAAACATTATGATGAGAAGATGTTGAACATGAATTTATGAAATGTAAAGAAAAGTCCAAAAGATTCCTCTGGAAAGTAAAGAATTTATAAAAAATATTTTTAAATAATGTTATGACAATATACATTCTGATTTCTTCTATTATTATTAATAATAATATTACTGAGACCAGGTCTCACTCTGTTGCTGAGGCTAGAGTGCAGTGGCACAATCACAGCTCACTGCAGCCTCTATCTCCCGGGCTCAAGCTATCTTCCCACCTCAGCCTCCTGAGTATCTGGCTTTTTTTTTTTTTTTTTTTTTGGTAGAGACAAGGTCTTCCTGTGTTGCCCAGACTAGTCTGAAATTCCTGAGCTCAGGCTATCCTCCTGCCTCAGCCTCCCAAAGTATTAGGATTACAAGTGTGTGCTGCCATGCGGGCTAATTTCTTTGTACGCTAATGTTCATAAAGAGATCAAGAATGTTGTAACTGTGACAAAACAGGACACCCGTGATTCTATCTTTTCTCTAGTTAAAACATCATCAGAGAAATTCACAGGGATTAAGCCAGATAAAAAGTGTTTGGACCATTGGGAAGAATGTAAAATGTTCTGGATGGTGCAAAGGAAAGACAGATAGAACACCACGGAGCATCTAGCTAGGGGCGTAGCTTTCAAGAGGTGTGGGTCTGCTCATGAGCTGTAATGGCAGGAGGAGTACAGTGGGCTCAGTGCCAGTCCATCACTGACCCTGGAAAAATGTGTCCCCCCCACACATCCTTCCAAAAAAGACTCTCTGAATGCATGAAAGCCAAATAAAGAAGTGACAACCTGCAGGCTAAGGTCACTGACTTCTAAGCCTAAAGTTAAAAGCAACTCTGAAAACATGCACTGGAAAAGACATCAGAAGATTTCACTATTCTCCACTGGCCTATTCTCCACTCTGCTTTGTACCCTGAATAATTCCCTTCTCCATCTCTACACCTCAGCTTTACCACCTGTAAGATGGAATAAAGGTGCATTGGCTAACTTCTGAGTTGTTTTTTGTTTTGTTTTGTTTTTTAGCACCAACGAATGCTGTGTTTCTTTTCTGTCAAAGGTATTCAGGATTTATTTGTAACAAGAAGTCAGCAAATTGCTAGGTGACATCTAGCATAGAACCTGGAACAGTAGAAGTTGCATTAAAAAAAAAAAAGAAGAAGAAATGCCTGGAAATGCACTGCTTCAATATGCTCAAGGTAGTTAGTTAACACGTGGCCAACTGAAACATACTATCACTTTGAAGGCAGTGGCTTTCACTTCATTGGAAGTGCAGACTGAAGCCCAGCTCTGGAAATTCTTGCATAAATTATGACTTCCTCAGGAATGATAATGGAGTCTCCCTCACTTCTCTTCAAAGAGGCTTTGTTCAGTCTTCAAGGTGGTAACACGAGCTCCTATATTCTATGCCAAAAGGGAAATCATCATATTGCCTCTCATGCACATGCTTGCATCCTCCCTTCCTTCTACTGCCCAGCCTTGCACCTTTTTATCATGAAGCAGAGACTAGACATGTTCAAGTCTGTGCCCTGTGCAGACAGCAAAGACAAGTCTTGGGAAAGAGGTGCTGTCTGGGGGCCTTCTGGACATGAATACGAGCCACCCCCATACTATCTGATCATTCACTATCTAGATCTAAGGAAAAATAAAACTTGGGTCCCTAAATGCAAACCTCTTGGAAATACTTCCTTCCTGTAGACACAGCCTAAATGTTCAATATTAATGACATAATTACATAATTATTACATGCAATGATAATAATGATATAATCATTAGGATCACCCTACTGGAACATAAGCACTCTCATCTATTAATAACCACATACACATATCATGCTGTCATTATGAAGGTTATAAATTGCTTCTCCATGTGCTGTCTCCTTACAGAAATGAGGATGCTGTGACACTTTGCCCTCCTGGACGTCTCTGGGGACGCTGGTTGTCTTGATGAGCTGCTAAAGGAGGTAATCTCTGAGACCCTTTCCCTAGCATGGAAGAAAGGCAGTATTCATCCTTGGCTACCCACTCTCTATCTTACTCTTTATCTCCTTCATTAAATGTCTTTGCCATTCCATTTCAGCAACAGAAGGCTGGGGTGGGCCAGCCGGATGGCGTGATGCTGAAATCACTCCCCATAAAAACGTGCCTGCAATGTTACAACAGCTTTGATGCTGTTGTAATGCACCCATAAAATCAAGGAACATATGTAGAGGCAGCTGCTGGTGGCAGTGAAGGAATGTAAAAAATATGCGGCTGTTGAAAAACTTTGATAGATTTTACTGCTAGCCAAATATATGTTTTTTTATGGTCCGCTGTATGAACCTACAAAAAAATCATGCTTTTCTTTTGTGTGTTTATTCATTGCATCATTTACAACAAATTCTTGAGACAAACTAGGAGAGCATGTGATTAGTTTTCAAATCAGTGGTAGAAAGCTCAGAGAGAATGAAAATGCCTTTTAATAAATGGTCCTTGGAAAGAAGTGGGGCAGTCCTAGGTATTAGAAAGAAGTTAATGTTACTCCAAACCATTTCCCTACATCACACCCTCTGCATCCATCAGGGTCATCAGAGGATGGCTATTCAGCTGCTTGGATCTGGCAAGGATTTTGCAGCAATTAAGTGACAATCAGGCAGGGATATGATTATTAATGGAGGAAAATCAGATTACCTAAACCTAGAGGTAATAATAATATACAAGCAATATAAGCATATGCAAGAAATATCAATAGGATGTAGAAAGAAAATATTAGAACTACTATTATATTTATTTTTATGTAAAATCACAGGAAAGACAGTATGCTTTACTAATACTTAATATATGCTCAATGGGAGTTCTGCCATCACTAGCAGGTTAATGTAGATGAGGACTCAGTCCAAAATTTGTATATTAAGTGTTCATATATTGGGATAAATGCTTCAAATTTTTTATCATAAATGTGTGACCAAAATGTAAATCTTCTGTAGATCGCATTTTGATACAAGTTTTTTTCTTATAGTTTTTATTTCACCAGCATTTTATTGCATAGTTAGAAGAGTTCAGATGCATATGGCCACGATGCCACCTTATCCTGCTCTCTGCAGCATACCAGGTGGTTCTCTTTGCTGCAAGCCACAGTCAGGTTTAAAAGATTTTTTAAAAAAATCAAGAGTGAATTTTGCATAGTTAGAAAAAATAAGCATGATTTGATAATGGAACGGAGTTTATACACTGGATTTGTCATATATATGTATTTGGACATATATATATTATATATATGGAGAGAGAGAGAGAATGCTGTGTGGTAAGTGGGCAAGTCATTTACTCTCACATAATTATAAAATGGGGATACTTTACAAGTATCTTTACAGGATTGGTGGTACTCAATAAATGGAAACTATTATTATGAATATTTTTTCCTGTAGCATGTGCCCACTAACAAGCAAATAATTCAAAAGATTTAGTATTATCACAGTGAAAAGATACTTAAGCAAGGAAGAAAATAAGAGCGGTTTGAATAAAGAATGAGGATGAAGGAATTTAAAATACGGTCTAATGAAGCTCTTTCAGAGTCCTGTTAAGCACAGCAAAACGAGAAAGTTGGCACAATCCTAAGCAGCCAGGAATTGCTACCTTTGGAAAAAGACACCTTGGTCTTCAATGATTTATCTCTTGGCAACACAGGGACAAAGGAAACAAGTACATTTCCATTTCTGATTTCTAGGGCTCAGGTGAAGAATCTATTAATATGCATAAAAGGCCAGATGGACTGGCCGAAGCCTGGAGCACAAAGGTTAGTTTTGGAGGAACCATCTGGAGCTTGTTCTTATGCCTTGGTAAAAAAGCCAGTGAGAGCCCAGAAAACAACACAACCAATTAGGAAGGCAGTAGCTGGAGGCCTGCTGGCTCTGTCAGCCTTCCACTGCTACAGAAAAATGCTGGTTTGAAGAAAGGGAAAACGTATCAGCAATTTTTTATTCTTTCTTTTTTAGTTTTCACAAACAACTGGATACAGTTTGGCAATTAAGAAAGTGGCAGAGAAGGTAAGGCTCATCCAGATAAACATGTTCCAGTTCCACAGAAGTTTTCTGAACATCTTCTTCCCATAGCAACATCTGGTGTCTTGTGCCCATGGTAGGCCAGGAGAGAAACCTGGTTCCAGGCACCCACAGAAGTAAAGACCAAACTACTGCCAGCAGAGTTTACCAAATACCATCGCAATTTGGTATCAATCAGTATTACCTACCTTCCTGAAAAGTCCACGTGAAACTTTCGGAAATGCCGAGTTCCTGATGTAAAAATAAATACCTCCATTATCAGGATAATGGGGCAGGTTTTAGTGTCAAATGAAATAATTTTAAATGTCAGCTCTTACTGCCATTTGATTTCAGGCAGGCTACTTCACCACTCTGAAATGCCATCTCTCCCTGTGAAATAATGATAATAATAAAGCCTCTTTATGCTAAAAGTAGATTAAAGAAAGAAAAAATGTGCATAAGAAAGCACAGTTCACTCTTTGTTGTTATCCATGTATTTTGTCCACGTGTCTCCTGAGCACCAGCTCTGTCCCAGGCACTCCTGACATAGCCGTAAAAGACACATAGTATAATAGCTTATAATTAGCAACTAAAATACAGAACAATAAAAACAATAAAATTGTATTAATTTAGAAAATAGAAAAAAACCATTTTTAAAAACTCCATAACCCTACTGGCCATATATAACCAAGTATAATTCTTTTAATTATACTTTAAGTTCTAGGGTACATGTGCACAACGTGCAGGTTTGTTACACATGTATACATGTGCCATGTTGGTGTGCTGCACCCATTAACTCGTCATTTACATTAGGTATATCTCCTAATGCTATCCCTCCCCACTCCCCCCACCCCATGATAGGCCCCGGTGTGTGATGTTCCCTGCCCTGTGTCCAAGTGTTCTTATTGTTCAATCCCACCTATGAGTGAGAACATGCCACGTTTGGTTTTTTGTCCTTGAGACAGTTTGCTGAGAATGATGGTTTCCAGCTTCATCCATGTCCCTACAAAGGACATGAACTCATCCATTTTTATGGCTGCGTGGTATTCCATGGTGTATATGTGACACATTTTCTTAATCCAGTCTATCATTGATGGACATTTGGGTTGGCTCCAAATCTTTGCTATTGTGAATAGTGCCGCAGTAAACACAAGTGTGCATGTGTCTTTATAGCAGCATGATTTATAATCCTTTGGGTATATACCCAGTAATGGGATGGCTGGGTCAAATGGTATTTCTAGTTCTAGATCCCTGAGGAATCGCCACACTGTCTTCCACAATGGTTGAACTAGTTTACAGTCCCACCAACAGTGTAAAAGTGTTCCTATTTCTCCACATCCTCTCCAGCACCTGTTGTTTCCTGACTTTTTAATGATTGCCATTCTAACTGGTGTGAGATGGTATCTCATTGCGGTTTTGATTTGCATTTGTCTGATGGCCAGTGATGATGAGCATTTTTTCATGTGTCTGTTGGCTGCATAAATGTCTTCTTTTGAGAAGTGTCTGTTCATATCCTTCACCCACTTTTTGATGGGGTTGTTTGTTTTTTTCTTGTAAATTTGTTTGTGTTCTTTGTAGATTCTGGATATTAGCCCTTTGTCAGATGAGTAGATTGCAAAAATTTTCTCCCATTCTGTAGGTTGCCTGTTCACTCTGATGATAGTTTCTTTTGCTGTGCAGAAGCTCTTTAATTTAATTACATCCCATTTGTCAATTTTGACTTTTGTTGCCATTGCTTTTTGTGTTTTAGACATGAAGTCCTTGCCCATGCCTATGTCCTGAATGGTATTGCCTAGGTTTTCTTCTAGGGTTTTTATGGTTTTAGGTCTAACATTTAAGTCTTTAATCCACCTTGAATTAATTTTTGTATAAGGTGTAAAGAAGGGATCCAGTTTCAGATGGCTACATATGGCTAGCCAGTTTTCCCAGCACTATTTATTACATAGGGAATCCTTTCCCTCAAGTATAATATTTTGATAAATTTCCTTTCTACAGTTCCTTTCAGACAATAACAATTTAGATAAAGCGAAAGCTTATGAAAAGTACAAATCAACTACCAATAACTCATTAGTGGGCTTTCTGTAGGAATATATTACAAATATTTAGCAAATGATTTTTGTTAATTTTCTATTGCTCTTTTATACATACATATAGGGGTGCACATGCAAATTTTTTATTACAACATTCTTTTAATATTGTAACAAATGAGTTAAAATGCTATGGATTTACAAGCAGAAAGATCTCAGTTTGAATCTAGGCTCTCTCCCTAACTAGCTGTGTAATATTGGAAGAATTTACCACTCTGTAAGATTCACTTTTCTCATTTTCAAATTTAGTGTAATTATACTATGTATAATTCAGTTATTATAATGTCTAAAAGAACACAAACTCTTTACTATTTTATAAAATTAATAAATGCCTGCTTCAGATTTTATGATGAGTTTATGACAATTGCCTAGATGAAATTTTTAAGTTCATCTTTGACCTAGGCAGCCAACGAGAAAAATAAGTACATTTTTGATAACTTTATGTTGACAACAGAATGATAGCACAGAACAGGGTAAATTTAACTACTGCAGAACTTATGTTCCTCTTCTAAAACCTACTTTTCAGCACAATTGAATTGGAACCAACCAGTAATGAAGACTTTTTGAAAAAACAAATACAAATAGTTCTGTAAATTTTTGACCATACAAGAGATTCAAGATGTAGAAGCGAGAGGTCAATTTTTGTGTTTGAGATTTGGTTAGTTTTATAATCAATCAATATAATTGTCCAAATTTTTCTGTCATAGTGCCAAAACAAAACATTCTTTTGGTTTAAATAATGTAGAAACTGGGTTATAGATAATTGGGAAAGTATGCTGAACTTCCAATTTAAAGAATGATTTTCAGTCATAGAGAGAAGTGACCTATAACTAAAAGTGTCCTGGAATGAGACTCCTTCCCCTTTCCTTTTCTCCTACCAGAGTCAGGCATAGAGATAATAAAATAGAGATAACAGAGATAGATAATCATATTCACCTACTGCCTCTAACCAAATAGATTCCTTCCATTGCCAAAAAGTTTGCAATTTTCAAACCTATGACAGAATATGAGATCTCTGCTCAGCAAGACATTAGGACATCTTGGGCTCCTTCCAATTCCACATTTGTAGGAATCCTAGAAATCTTTAAAGTCTACATTATTTCCTACTTAGGCCATAAATCTCTCCCTCAGAATTCTAACCATCATCTCCCAGAGGCTACCCTTATGTTCCTGGAATATATTCGGTTTGGCACTTTATTTTAAATGATTGCAATTTATTACCCTAGATTGTGTTTTTCCACATAAAGTGTTCATACCTTAACAGTAGGGCTATCTCTTTTACTTTTCTTCTGTGCCTCATGGTACATAGCATCAAGCAGCTTTGATGAATTTACACTAAGGTTATGAGATTCTCCAGGGGTAAGGAGGCCAGGTTTGCATGGTACACGTGCACACAATATAAGGAGGAAATCTGGGTCATTCAATTTGCAATTCCTAACTTCCTGGAAAAAAATTCATGTGGATCCTCTTTAATGTCATTTGATAAATCTATGTTAGAGAAAGATAAAATGATTCTCAAAATGTGACTTATTTCCTGCTAGAAGGGATATCAAACTATCTGAAGTCCCATTCTTCCCCTCAGTTCTTATAAGCGAGTGTTGCATAGTCTCACAGACTTTCATTCTTCCATTAATTTCGAGGTTTTTTACTAGTGAGCATCGGTTGGTTATTAAGAACCATAAAAATAAGTTTTATAAGTTAAGATTAATGCTTTACTTAAATCTACTGAACACTTTAATTATTTTACCAAAAAACAAAAATAGGAAAACACTGTCTGTTCCCCAACTGACAGAGCATCTACCACCTACAATGGACACACACAAGCAGGAGCATATGTACAAGCACATGATTGGATTCCTGCTTAAGAGTGAGATTGACTGGTCTAGGTGGGTCTTGAACCCTCCTGAGTGTCTGAAGCAGTTTAAAGAAATACAATGAAGAAAGAAGGAAGCTAAGACCAATTTATATTCTAGTTTAGATCGAAATCCTTGTAAAAATGCCCACTCTGCCACCATTTCTCACCCATAAAAATGCCTATGAACCAAACAATACTAGTGTTATCAATAACATAGAAAAATTAAAACTATCACACATTGCTAGTGGGAATGTAACGTGGTGCCGCTACTTTGGAAAACTGTTCAGTAGTTTCCTTAAAAAGTGAAGAGCAGAGTTACCATATGCCACAGCAATTTGACTCGTGGGCATCTACCAGGAATGGAAACTAGATGTCCACACAAAGATCTGTACAGAAAGGTTCATAGCAGCAATATTCATAATAGTCAAAAAGTTGATATAACCCACATGTCCATCAATTGGTGAATGAATAAAGAAAATGCAGTATAGTCATGTGTCTTAGTTTGTTTTATATGGCTATAATAGAATATCTGAGACTGGGTAATCCATAAAGAAATTTATTTCTCTCTGTTTTGGAGGCTGGGAAGTTTAAGATCAAGGGGCCTACATTTGGCAAGGGTCTTCTTGTTACATCATCCTTGGCAGAAGGTAGAAGGGCAAGAGGTCGTGAATTGCAGGAAAGAGGGAGTGAGAAGAGGACGCAGAGAGCCAAACTCATCCTTTTATCAGGAACCAACTCCCACAATAATTAACCCATTCCCCTAATAATGGCATTAATCTATTCATGAGGGCAGAGTCCGTATGACCACGTGACCTAATCACCTCTTAGAAGATCTGCCTCTCAACATTGTTGCATTGGGGATTAAGTTTTCAACACAGGAAGCTTGGGGAACACACTCAGATTGTTAATTTGCCAAGACCTCAAAGGCTTGGAATGCTATTCAGCAAGTAAAAAGAATAGAAGTCCTAATATGCTCTAAAGCAGGAGAGAACTCAAACACATTATACTCATTGAAGAAAGCAAGATATAAAAGAATACATATTATATGATCCATATATATAAAAAATCCAGAAAAGGTAAATTTACAGAGACAGAAATTGTGGTTGCATAGGGCTGGGGATGGAAATGGGAGGTGAATGTAAATGGGCAAGAGGTTTCTCCCATTAAGGGTGATGGACATGTTCTAAAATTAGATTGCAGTGACAGTTGTACAATTCGGTAAATATACTACAATTCCTGCACTTGTATACTTAAACCAAGTGAAGAAGGGTGAATTTTACGGAATCTAAATTTTATCTCAATGAAGCTGTTTTTTTAAAAAACTGATGCCTCCTACAGGAAGTGTCACAGACTCAGGTTTGAGAAAAATAAAGTAAAACAGGATACATCCTCCCCAGGATAAACCAGTGAGAAAAGTTCTCATTTCAGAGCTCTGACCATCTGGAAAAGACATGCAAAGCTGAACCTGTAGGAAGAGTTTTCAAACTGGATTAAGACACCCCTAGACAAAATGACCTGAGACTTCCTGATAGATGAGAAAACAGATCTGTATTTAAAATTGGGATAAGCAGCTGGAAAAACAATTTGCTACAGTGGTGAGAGAGCCAGACTTGGAATTAGATGACCTGAATTCAAATAGCTCTACTTCTCCCCTCTCTAAGCTTCAGCTTCTTTAACTGTTAATATTTATAGCAGTGGTCCATTATGGGGCACTTCCCACTTGCCAGGTACTATTTTAACGTGTCTTTCATGTGTTAACTCATTCAAGTCTCCAAAGAGAATTTATGCTTACGGTTTACGTTTATTTCCAAACATAGATACAGGGAGGTTAGTTAACTTACTAAAAGTCACACAGCTGCTGAGTGGCAAATTGAATGATATTTGAATCAAGTGGTATGAGTCCTGGATCTGGGAGTTTTTCTCATTACACTGTGCATATTATACTTTTAGGATTCCCACCAGGTAGATAACTTGATGAGCATCTCAGAAGAAAGCTTTACAGGCATTCAGAAACAGAACAGCCCACAAAGAAAACAAGATTAGACAGGAGATAGCCCCGGGTTTTGGCCTCTTAGTGCATCATGAAATTGGATAAGATGCCAAATTTTCACACACTTACTTTCCCACTATGTAAAATGGAAACAATAACAGAACCTATTTCCAAGGGTTCTGGTATGAGCAGTAATACTAGTAAAGCGTAAAACCTTGGGCTTTACTCCTAGTCATAAATGTTTTTTATTGCTCTTGGCATTGTTATATGAATGTATAAGAAAAGTGGCTGGTCAATAAATGCTGGTCGAATCTAAATCTGAACTAGTTATGTGATTGCTTGAGTAACTTTATCACTCTAGGTGTCAGCTTCAATGGAAATTCAGAGGCTTGAACCACATGAGCTCTCAGATCCCTCTCAGATCTAACAGTTAGTGATGATAATATATCATTACATTAACAGTGACTTTAATAATTATGATTACATTAGCAATTACCTTATCAATTTACTTTGTTATAAATTTACAAAATACCATCAGGCCCTGAAGTCTACCACTTATTAAGCACCAACTATTTAGAATATTCTTATTAATCTTCATAACAATTATCCAAGGTATGTATTATTAGACTCTTTTAAAGGTGAGGACAGTGAAATCCATTTGTTTTCAGACTAGAAGGGAGTTAGCCTTCCTATAAACTCACCTAGCTGATAAGAGGTAGAAAAGGAAGGAAGACTCAAGTCTATCTGGCTCAAAATCATTTCCTATCACATATCCCCTGTCTCCCCACACTTTAGCAGAAAGCCAGGTTAATGTCTATAGTTCACTCTTTATACTACCTTGAAAAGTCAAGGTTGTTGTGACTTGATACTATTGAGACACTGGCAAAACATCAGTTCCTTCCACACACTTCTGATGGACCATACCCCATATCCAGATTCACAAAGGAGAAAAATGAGGGTAGACTGATTGACTGCATTAAAATGTCTTAGAAGACTGTTAATTTTAAATATCTTCCAAAGAGCCATTAAGACATCATTAGATTTCTATAATCTCAGTTAGCATACAATTTCAGAGGGACCACCTGTTGTACAGACAGAGGCCACCTGTGCCAGCCGAGGAGGTGTTGTGAATTCACCAGCACCTCAGGGGTTTGCTTTCAATTAGTTTAATTCCTAACATGGTTTTATTTCCCAAGTGTGAGCTCTGCTCCAGAGAGGACTAACAGCACTTTCCTGAAGGGGATTCCAAGGATTTCTACCTCCAAGACAGGATAAGTGGGAAAACTGGAAGTTGGGAAATTAAATGACTCAGCCCTAAGATCCCATGGCAGAACAGAAATTTTAGGAATAACAATAGACTCTTCAGCCCAGGCTAGCCTAGCCAAGGATATTACATTATGTGCCAAGACACATTTTCTATCAAGGTCAATATCCTTTCCAAGAGATGTGTTCAAAGTCAGTTTTCTCTGCCTTCCGGGGCACTAAGGGGCTAATTCTCAAAGCTAATGGAAATAAGAGGTGAAATTGTTCTCCTACCACATAATACCAACATCTACCTAATTCTGAGTATTTGTGTGGCCTGGTAATTTGATTCTGAGCACCACAATCAGAGCTTACCCCCTTCCCAACCATTAATCAAGCCTGATTATTAAAAAATTATTTTTAGTGGGAACAGTGGGTCATGCTTGTAATCCCAGCACTTTAGGAGGCCAAAACAGGAGGATTACATAAGGCCAGGAATTTGAAACCAACTTGGACAATATAGTGAGACCTCCATCTCTACAAAAAAAAAAAAAAAATTAAAAATTAGCTAGGCATGGTGGCAGTTGCTGTAGTCCCAGCTACTCGGGAGGCTGAAGTGGGAAGATTACTTGAGCCCAGAAATTCAAAGCTGCAGTGAGCCATGATCATGTCACTGCACTCCAGCCTGGATGACAGAGAAAGACACTGTCTCAGAAAAAAACATATGTGTATATATATAGATATATATGTATTATTTAAAAATTCAAATGTATACAAAAGCAGAAGACTCATTTAATAAGTCTTCATGTGCCTAAAAACTTAATGTACATAGAATCTGGGTTTAACAATTATCAACTTCTGAGCAATCTTATGTTCTCAATACTCCCCTTCTTTTCTTCCTCCCTCACTATATTTTCATGAAAGAAATTCCAGATATCATATTATTTCAAAAAAAATTTCAGGTTGCATATATAAATGGTAAGCAATCTTTTTTAGAAAAATTAACTATAATACCTAATTAAAATTTAAGAATTATTCTATACGATCATCAAATATACAGTCTATATTCAAATATACCTGTCTGTCCCATGGACAGTGGGAGTCGTTACAGTGACTCATTCAAATCAGGATTTATATAAGGTCTGAATTATTGATATGTTGTTTAAGTAACTTTTAAATTACAGTTTTATTCCTCTCTCCAAACCTCATTTTCTTAACTTTTGCAAATAAGCTAGGTGATAGATGTTACAGAGTTTTCCATTGTCTGAATCTGAATAAGTCAAGGTGGTATAAATTACCGTGTTCTTCTGCCCTCTCTATTTTCTACATATTGACAGTTGGCTCTAGAGACTCAACCAGAATTAGGGTTGACATTTGTCAAGAATATTTCATAGGCCACATGCATTTCCATCAGAAGGTGTATAATGTAGATTGTCTTTCTTTGTGTAATCTGAACAGTCATTGATGATCATTGCCTATATACATTGTTTCATCTGGGATTCCAAAATGTTTGTATTCTAATTCTGCAATCTCCTCTTCATTTATTAGCTACAATGCTTTGATAAAAATACTTATTCAGTAACTATGCAGTTACTCTCAAGTATAGTTTCTAACGGAAAATGATGATAAATGCCAGGTTCTTTTTTAATTTATCATTTTAAAAAATAATGTTTTGGTTCCTAGTAACTTACAAAGATGATCAATGAGATAGTCATTAATAGTATTATTATACAATCATAAATGTAAATGTATTTGATTTGTGCACTCTATTTCTGTGAGGGTTATTAATGTCAAATTATCCTAAAAAATCTAGCCAGTGGGAGTCTCTTTAAGTTGGTTCCTGAGTCCTTTTGCTGCAACCCTAGAGATCTTTGAAAGCTTTCCTTTTACTGTATGACAAGATTGTTTTAATACTTTTCAGAATTATTTTTCAAATACTACATGCTTGTTTTTAGAAAATTAGGAAAATATTTTATGACAAGGAAAATAAAAATAATTCCTAAATCACTTCTCAGAGATTAATCACAGTTGTTTTATTTTGGTTGTATATATGCATAAAAAGCTAAATTCTTTCCTGGAGAATAATTTGGCAATATTAATGAGTGCTTATTTTCTACTATACTTTCACTGGTGTATTTATAAATCCTTATACTTACTAAAATATTATTTTTAATGGCTGCATTATATTCTATCATATAGATGCACCATTTTTTAAAATCAGATACCCCTATTATTATACTGTTAGGTTGTTTCCAATTTCCCACTGTCATAAATGAATCTTATCATAAGCTATGTTAAATATATGTATGTATGTGTGTGTGTGTGTGTGTGTATATATACATATATATACACATATACATACATACATATATATACTTTAAATTTTTTAAGCTATACATATAACAAATGCAGAAAAAGCATTTAGCTTAATTTTTACTTTACAAGAAAAAGCTAAAACTACAAAACCCTTAAAAGAAAATACAAATAATTATTTACGACTGAGCTAGTCAAAGCCGTTACAGATATGATACTCAAAGCACAAATGACAAAAGAAAAAAAAAGAGGTTAACTGGACTCTATCAAAATAAAAAACTTTTGCCCTTCAGAGGACATACCCGATAAACACATACCAAAAATTAGTGAAAAGATAAGCCATAGAATGATAGAAAATATTTGTGAGTTACATACCTGATAAGGGACTTGTACAGAGAATGAAGAACTCTTACATTTTGATAACAAAAGACAATTTGTAAATTAGAGAAGGAGCTAAATGGATATTTCTTCAGAGAAGATATACAAATTGCCAATAAACAAACACATGACAAGATCTCAACATCATTTTCTGGCAGGGAAGTACAAATAGAAACCCCAGTTAGATACCAGTTCACACCCACTAGGATGACTATAACAAAAAAGACAAATAATAACCAATGTTGGTTAGAATGTGGAAAAATCTGAGCCTTCATAGACTTGTGGTAAGACTATAAAATGCTGCAGCCACATTGGGAGACAGTCTCAAAAGACTGGACATAGACTCACCAATTCTACTGCCAGGTATAATCCCACCATAAATAAAAATATATATTCATACAAAAACTTGTGTACAAATGCTCATAGCAGCAATATTCATGATAGCTAAAAATTAGAAACAATTCAATATTCATAAACTGATGAATGGATAAATTGAATGTGGTATATTTATACAGAAATATATTAGTCAGCACTAAAAAAGAATGAAGTATTGGTATATGCTACAATATGAATAAACCTTAATAACAGGCCGGGCGCGGTGGCTCACACCTGTAATCCCAACACTTTGGGAGGCCGAGGCGGGCGGATCATGAGGTCAGGAGATCGAGACCATCCTGGCTAACACGGTGAAACCCCATCTCTACTGAAACTACAAAAAAATATTGGGTGTGTTGGGGGGCACCTGTAGTCCCAGCTACTCAGGAGGCTGAGGCAGGAGAATGGTGTGAACCCCGGAGGCAGAGCTTGCAGTGAGCTGAGATTGCACCACTGCACTCCAGCCTGGGAGACAGAGCCAGACTCCATCTGAAAAAAAAAAAAAAAAAAAAAACCTTAATAACACTTAATAACAGTATTCAAAGTTACAGAAGACAATCACAAAAGATCTCATATTGTAAAATCCCGTGTATATGAAACGTCCAAAATAGGCAAATACACAGAAGCAGAAAGTACATTAATACTTGCCTAGAGTTAGGGAAAGAGAAGAAATGAGAAGGGATGCTAATGAGTAAGGGGTTTCTTTTGGGGATGATGAAAATGTTCTAAAATTGACTTTAGTGATGGTAGCACAATTCTGTGAATATACTAAAAATCATTGTGTTTTATGGTATGTGGATTATATCTAAATAAATCTGTGGGGGAAAAAAATATCAGTTGAACCTTCAGGATAAAACAACAGGTCATTCTCTCTCTTACATTATTTTACAATGTTTCCAACATCTGAAGACACAAATGATATCTCCCTACAGGAAAATCTATTCCTTCCAGAAATTTTTCAAAAATAAATAAAACATCCCAGATTGTCTTATTCTTCAGGTAGTACTGAAGCTAAAGAATACACTGAGTCAACTACCTTGCTATAAAAGACAGGGGAGGCAGCCAAGATACACAACAGTTTATTCTGCAGCAATGTTTTCCTGTTGTGGCCACTAAATCACAGAAAATGCAGCAGGATATGAAAGTTCACCTTATTTTCTGACATGAAAACTCCAAGGTTATGCTTATCTGTGATGCATTATAGGAAATCATTGGATACATTCTGTTGAAGAAGGCCATCTTCCCCAAAATAGGATGAAAATACTCCCTCTTCTCAAAGTAGGGAGGTAGTTACAATGGTTCATTTTAGGTGTCAACTTCACTAGATTAAAGAATACCTGGAGAACTGCTAAAGCATTATTTCTGGGAATGTCTGCTAAGGTGTTTCCATAAGAGATTGTTATGAGAGTCAATAGGCTGAGTGGGGAAGATCTGCCCTGGTGTGGGTGGGCACCAATCAATCATCAGGGGCCAGGAGAACAAAAAATGGAAAGAAAAGGATTCCCTTGCTCTCTCTCCTGGAGCTCAGACATTCTCCTGCTCCTGCCCTTGGTCATCAGAAATCCAGGCCCTCCAGCCTTGGGACTTCAGGATTTATGACAGCAGCCCCTCAAGTTCTCAGGGGATTACTAATTATACCATCAGCTTTCCCGCTTTTGAGGCTTTTGGACTTGGACTGAGCCCACCCCCGCTATTAGCATCCCAAGGTCTCCCTCCAGCTTGCAGAAGGCTTGTTGTGGGACTCCTCAGCTTCCGCAACCACATAAGCCAACTCCCCTAATAAGTCTTCTTTTATATATCTATGTATATTTCTGTATCATCTGTATCTATCCATCTACATATATATATATATATGTGTATATATATATATATATGTGTATATATATATATATATATATATATATATATATATATATATATCCTATTGGTTCTGTCTCTCTATATAATTCTAATACAGTATCAAGCACGTTTATTTTAAAACTGATCCTGGAGTAAAGGGCGACTATTTATTCTGTGGCTCATAATTTGAGCTCAGGAATGATTTACACACAGGAACTTCTTGGTTGGCCATTAAGGGCTACTGTGAGAGGGAAAGAGAGAAGGTGATTGTGTAAGAGATTGAGAGGAGTTTGGGTGAGGATGAAGCTTTTGGTCTCAAGAGCTAAAGGCAGTATACATGAGAAGCTAAGGGAGTGTAAAGGAGGTAAGTAGAAGAAAAAAAACTTCCATAGAGCTGAAAAAGTGTTCCAAGAGCGAAGAAGCTGATAAGTATGTTGGGGTGCCCCAGTACTACCTGGTGTCCTTAACAGTCAGCCAGATAGGCCTGAACCTGTGTCCAGACATCCTGTGGATAAGAATGTCCTTCTGTCCACACCAAGCTCTCACCTATTAGTCACCCATGAACAGGAGCAATACCCAGTCCCCATCAGGAGATAACTTTACCACTAGCTTGATGTCCCTGGAAGATGCCTTTCTGCAGTGCCCCAAGGACAATCCCAAGACCAAAGATATTCTCAGAGAGGAGCTGTGGGGCAAAGTGGGGGCTAAGTGGAAAGCTTCAATACACAAAAGGGACTGTCATTAATGCTCTTATCCCCTAAGTAGATCCTCTGTAACTTAAGCAAGTGAGTGTTACACAGATCAAGTGCCCACGGCACATACTTTTTATCTGATGGCTTGTAAGGCAAACCCTTTGAAAGAAGATTTTATTTTGTAGAAAATATTGATTGTGATTTACAGTTGCGTTCTGGTACTTGAGGTAGGATTAAGAACAAATAAAATATTTTATGAGGAAATCCTGCCATTTATTGAAATGCATATTGAGTGCAAGGCACTTTTGTTTGATGCCCTGGGAGGTAAATGTCATTTCCATTTTATAAGGAGGCTCACCCTCTGGAAGAACAAACGTCTGGCTCAGAATCATATTGTTTGGAATGGCAAAGAAAAATCTGACACTTTAGTCTTCAAACTTCTAAGACCCAGCTTGGGAAACACATTGTGATACATTCTTTCTCAATTGGTTGATTCATTGCTTCTGAAGGGTAAATGAGCTGTAGAGGTACCACAGGAAAAACACAAGGTGATTCCTTTATAGATAATAAGGTACCTATTTTACGCTTACACATAATAGTTATAAAATTCTCTTCCTTCAGTCAATATGTATTTTACACCACATACGACACTCATAGTAGGTGTAAAATACATATTGACCAAAGGAAGAGAATTGGACACAACACTGTTAGGAAACTTCTGATCAGCCTGAATACTGTAATCGGAAGCCTTTTGCAGCTCCACTAACACCTTAGAATCCCCATGTCCTTGCTAATAATATGATTACATCCTTCTGCCTTGGTGTCTAATCTCAGCAATACCCCCACAGATAACTCAATTCCAGGGAACACCCAAGGTGAAATTGTATCACTAGTTTCATAATAATGAAAGCCATACATCATAGCCATAAATTGCCAGGGGCCCTGGGGTGGGATGGAAGGAGATATTGTAATGGCCTTAGGTAATTACAAAGCACAGACATTTACCATGATGGGAAATGAAAGACGCTGTATCTCAGTTATACTCAGACAGTAAGCAGGATAACCCTTCTTTTTTATAGTCATCTCCCACAATATAGACACTATTACAGGAAGCCTTGGAAGATCAAATCAGCTTTGTCAAAAAGCCTCAAGTTGTAAGGTTGAATGAAGTTGAATATGCAGAATAAACTGAAGGTGCAGATTGCCCCAGAGGAAAAATAAATGACTACATTTTTCTCCACTCACTAATTCATTTAATAAACACAATTACCAAGACAGCAGTTTGAAGCTATGAGTACTAAAAGGAACTGCTTTGAGAGGACATACGGGAGACATCTTAACTCCTTAAATGAGACTCAATGGCATCTTACCTAGAATTACATACATAGGCCATACCTTTAAATAAAAGAATATGAACAGTTAATTTTTTTAAATGCCTCAATATCAGTCACATGGGAAACAAGCTTGTTTTTAGCTGTCATTGCCTCTCCAGGACATGACATGGAATGCAATATGAGCACTGCAGCCCTCTTAGCTTCTGTTCATCAACAAGCTCCCCTGTGCTGATTTCTCATAACTTTACCCAGTATGGCTGGATACTTCTTCAGATGCCATGCCCTATTTCTGTCTGTGCCCAAGCATTTAGTTCAGTGTATCCACCTGGAGTTCTACTACAAAATAGGAGCAAGGTCAGCTTCATTTTCCAATCAAATCTGCTTCCAATTTATTTAGTGGGAAGATCACCAAAGACCTTCAGATTTTTAAATCCAATGGACAGCTTCTGGTCCTGGAAACATATTTTTCACTTGACTTCCAGAATCCTACACTCCCTTGGCTTTCCTCCTATCTCACTGGATCTCAAAATTCTTTACTAATTTCTCGTTATCAACCTGCCCTCTAAATTTTGAAGTATTCCAGGTCTCCCCCACAGAGTTCTAATCTTTTCTATCTACATTTACTCCTTTAGTGGTCTCATTTAATCTCACAGTTTTAAATGCTATTTGTATGTTGATGACTCAAAAATGGATTTCTCCAGCCCTGGTCTACTAGTTCATGAATTCCCTACTTATATATCCTACCACCTATTCAACATCTTCATTTAGATGGCTAACAGGCATCTGAAATTTGACACATATGTATTCATATCTATATATCCATTTCTCTGTCTGTCCATCTATTTATACACATGTGTGATCTTCCACCCTTAATCTGTTCCTTTTCATATTTCTATCACAGTAAATGCCAACCCTATCCTTCCAGTGGCTTAGGGCAAAGGCCAAAGTAACCTTCATTTCATTCATTTCTCTCACACTTCAAATCCAACCCAACAACAAATCTTGATCAATTGCCCTTGAAAGTCTATCTAGAAACCTATTACATTTTGCCCCTCCACCACTACCACCCTTGTCCAAGCCACTAATCTGCTTACCCAGATTAGCCTAACACAACTCCCTGTCTTTGACTTTACTCCCCTATATTCTATTCCCAGTATTACACCTGAAGTAATATCTTTTATCTTTTTTTTTCTTTGAGACACAGTCTTGCTCTGTTGCCAGGCTGGAGCACAGTGGTGTGTGATCTCGGCTCACTGCAACCTCTGCCTCCCAGGTTCAAGCGATTCTCCTGCCTCAGCCTCCCAAGTAGCTGGGACTACAGGCATGCGCCACCACGCCAAGCTAATTTCTGTATTTTTAGAAGAGATGGGGTCATACAATTTTGGTGAGGGTGGTCTCGATCTCTTGATCTCGTGATCTGCCCATCTCGGCCTCCCAAAGTGCTGAGATTACAGGCTTGAGCCACTGTGCCTGGCCAGTAATGCCTTTAAAAGTAAGTCCACTTATATAACTCATCTGTCCAAAACCTGCTAATGGTTTTCTATCTCACTCACAGTAAAAGTCAAAGCCTTTGGAGTGGCTCAGATATCGTTAAATGGTATGTCCCCTCCGTTTTCCCCAACACACACCTGAATGAACTCTGACCTCATCTTCTGTGAATCTCGCACTGACTCATTCCACACTAGCACAGTGGCTCCTTTTTGCTCTTCATTGAAAGGGACAATCAGGACCCCTTTCAGAGCTTTGCACTTGCTGTCCCTTCTGTCCAAAATGTTCTCTTCCTGTATCTTCACCTCCTTCAGTAACTGGATTAAAATATTACTTCCTCTGTGAGATATTCTCTGACCATTCCATTTGTATTGCAACCTTGCCCTCCCACAATTACCTATAACCTTTCTATGCTTTGTTGTTCATTTTTCTTCTTAATACTTATCACTATTTGGCATACCATATACTTCATTCTTTTAGATATGTTGTCTGTCTCTTCCCATGCATGCAAACTCCATGTGGTCAGGAGTTTTTATCTCTTTAATTGAAAGGTGTGCCACAGTTTCAAAATAGTATGTATCAGACCCAGAATAGCCACCCCATGAATACATTTTGAATGAACAAATAAATGAATTCCACACTTATCCCCTTCCTATTGAATAGCATAATATATTTACTTAATGACTGACGAGCAAACAACCATAGTACTCCACGTCTTCTAAATCAACCAGTCTAATGCCTTTCCCTGTACAGATAAGAAGGCTAAGATCTAAAGCAGACTCACATCTCCTGTCTCTCACTCTGGGTGTTTTCTATGAATGGGTCTCTATGGACTCCCATAGGGCTGTTTCATAATCTGCAGCTCCATCAGAGCAATGGGAACCTCCAACTAACTTCAAGACAGTTTTTCTGCCATTTTGTGCCAACAATGATGATGACGATCATGATAATGATGATAATTTAATAACATGGCTGACATTTATTGTTTACTATTCATCAAACTAAGAATTTCTTTTCATTATCTCATTTAATTCCAAAAACAAATTTATGAGGTAGCTGCTATTATAAAGCCCTTTTAATAGATGAACACAAAACGTAGCAAGATTAAGCAGTCAGAAAGAATTCACACAGCTAATCAGTAGCAGAGTTTAATTAGCAGAGATAATTAATTTAATTATCTCCGGAACTTTAGATCCTGGCCTTTACCCTACATTGCCTGCCTGAGGCCTCTGCATGTATTGTACTTGGCTCCATCTGGAGATGAAGTCTCCATTGGTGGCCCTGATGATGGCTACCATGAAGAAAAAGCATCAATGAAGGGCCCAGATGACTGATATTTCAAGGTCTTCTGGGTTGTAAAGGCAAAGCTCCTCTCCACAAATGACTAGAACAAAAACAACTGCAATTGTGTATTTAAAGTCATGCATCTGGACCTAAGCATAGCAAAATGAAATGTTACAAAATTGTGATAGCAGCCTATCATAGTTGATAAACTTACAAAAACTATGTAACTATCAAACTATATAATTTAATATCAAACTATGATATCCTGAGTTACATATCCTATCATAGTTTGAATCTTACCATAGTTTGATAGTTCCCAATGTTGGCCAAGATATCAGAAGGAATATTGGGATTCATTGAAACTATTGATGCAATGTATATTCTCTTCTGGCTCATAAATAAAATATTACTACATGTAATCTTTTAAAAGCTCCTGCCAGCTGGAATTGGCTAAATTAATTATCTTAAAAGGCAGTTTTGAAAAAAAATACACAGTGAGTTAAATTTCTTTACCATTCGAAGGTTTATCAGTTTATTCACGTGGGCAAAATGTGTGCTCACATCCTACGAAACAAAATCTGGTACGCTTGGTTTCAATCCTCCTTCCAGCATTTATTAGATGTAGGTATTAGGAATGATACTTAGCCATGGAAGACCTCAGTTAACCCATTTTTAGATAGGATTGATGTCACCTGTCTCTCATATGTTTTGTAGACTAAGTGATGTCATATCTAAAAAAGCTTCGCACAGTAGCAGACATATAACAAGTCCTCAACAAAGGTCAGTTTACAAGTAGGGTAAACTGTAAATAAGCATATTATGTGGCAAAGTCTAATGGCATGTTATCATTTGTTAAAGGAGTTTCAAGATGATTTTTGAAAGTATTTTATTAACCTTGCCATTTCGGAGGCAACAAACCTTGCTATTATGGATTATCTTAGATTATATGGGTTTTGCAAATTTAAAGCTTGGCAGTAAGATAGGAAGTCCTGGACAGTGATGTCCTCTCCACATCACTATCAGAACCTGAAAGCAATTCTATGTCTGCATGGCTACCAATGTCAGCTTGTGGTCATGAAGCAAATGACTGAGTCAAAGAGTCTTATAAAACAGTGTTCTCAGAGAGAAAGAACACCTGATTGCATGATGCAATGGCTTTGTAAAATGTCACCTTGGCTATGCTGAGCCACATTTCCACAAATCTCATTCCTATATGTTTCTGGTTGGGTGGGGGAAGTGCAAGGACATGCTTTTTTTTTTTAACTTTTAAGTTCAGAGTACATGTGCAGGTTTATTACATAGGTAAACTTGTATCATCGGGGGTTGTGGTACAGATTATTTCAACAGGACCCAGGTATTAAGCCTAGTACCCATTAGTTCTTTGTTCTGATCCTCTCCCTTCTCTCAACCTTTGCCCTCTGAAAGGCTCCAGTGTGTGTCGTTCCCCTCTATGTTTCCATCATTTAGCTCCCACTTATAAGTGAGAACATGCAGTATTTGGTTTTCTGTTCCTGTGTTAGTTTGCTAAGGATAATGACCTCTAGCTCCATCCACGTCCCTGCAAAAGACATAAGCTCATTCTTTTTTATGGCTGCATAGCATTCCGTGGTGTCTATGTACCACATTTTCTTTATCCAGTCTATCACTGATGGGCATTTAGGTTGATTCCATGTCTTTGCTATTGTGAACAGTGCTGCAATGAACATACACATTCATGTGTCTTTATAATAGAATGATTTACATTCCTCTGTGCATGTACCCAGTAATGGGATTGCTGGGTCAAATTATATTTCTGTCTTTAGGTCACTGAGGGATGTTCTAGTGGGATATTTGGAGGGTAGACTGGAAACAGCAGACATTTTTTCATATTTTGCACTGTATACAGAGCACTTGGTTTTTTAGCACACACACCACTAAGTACGATGTTACTGTTGCATTTGCCTTTCCCCCTTAAAAAGCACAGCATTCTTTTTGTTTTGTTTTGTTCTTGAAACAGAGTCTCTTTCTGTCGCCCAGGCTGGAGTGCAGTGGTGCAATCTTGGCTCATTGCAACCTCCGCCTCCCGGGTTCAAGTGATTCTCCTGCCTCAGCCTCCCAAGCACCTGGAATTACAGGTGTGCCCCACCATGCCCAGCTAATTTTTGTATTTTTAGTAGAGTCGGGGCTTCACCATGTTGGCCAGGCTGGTATTGAACTTCAGACCTTGAGTGATCCACCCACCTTGGCCTCCCAAAATGCTGGGATTACAGGCGTGAGCCACTGAGCCCAGCAGCATTCTTAATATTGTCACTGACTTTTGGTTTTCTCTTCTCAAGGAATCTCTTAGCTCTTTTTGTTGCAGGGGGGCGCTATACAAGTCACACACCTAGTAACTAGGCCAATCTTCAAAATACTAGGTTTTAAAACTAATCTAGACCAATAACTGCAACATGATTAAAAGCATCCATCAATAATGCAACCCAGAATGCAAGAATGCACATGGACCAGGCTTGTATGCTGAGATAACCCCTTGTCCCAGAACAGGCAGAAATAGCAGTCATTTGGCCATGTGTGGTGGCTCACGCCTGTAATCCCAGCATTTTGGGAGGCTGAGGCAGGCAGATCACGAGGTCAGGAGATCGAGACCATCCTGGCTAACATGGTGAAACCCCGTCTCTACTAAAAAAAATATATAAAAAATTAGCCTGGCGTGGTGGCGGGCACCTGTAGTCCCAGCTACTCAGGAGGCTGAGGCAGGAGAATGGTGTGAACTCGGGAGTTGGAGCTTGCAGTGAGCCGAGATCGCACCACTGCACTCCAGCCTGGGTGACAGAGCAAGACTCCTTCTCAAAAAAAAAAAAAAAAAAAAAAAAAGGAAATAGCAGTCATTTTGTAGTTCATGTACGTTGTGGTGGATCTGCTGATTCGCCTCATTGTCACAAGGCAGTAGCTGGGCCTACAAATGGTCTAAATTCCCTTGGGTCTTCCTTCAGCAGCTCTCTTTCCTGGGCAGGTGTGTGTGTTTAGCACCATGATGAACTCCCCCGCTTCTCCAGGATACCTACACCTACAAGATGAGGCACAAGAACTGTACAGGTTTCAATTTTTGTGTGTGTGTGTGTGTGTGTGTGGGCTCCAGCTTATGCTTGAAGATTCCGGCTTGTTCTTGCTCTCCCTTCTTTCTACCTGTCTTCCCTTCCCAACTGCCTACATTGTGGATTTCAAAATCCAGATTCAGATACAATGATTACAACCTTTCAGATGCTGCTAATATAGTTTCCACAATTGCATAAGTTCAGATCCCTGCAACACACACACAAACACACATGTATGTATACACTCTTTGTTCTGCTTCTCTGAATGAAGCCTGGCTGATAGGCATTATTATCAACACTGAAGCCTAGCCAACAAGAAACCCTTTAAGAGCCTACTCTGTCTTTTTTCCGGAAAGCTAACTGTAGTCTGAGGTCATTCAAGAGCATAAAAAGCTGATTGATCTGTCAATATGTAATAGCTTTAAATATATTCATACATGTCAAAAGTCATAATGAGACTGTGTCATTAAGATTATATTATGATAATATTTCATCATAGAAATGAAGAATGTTCAAATCCTACTCTTAGCCATAACTGCCTTTTCAAAGCAAGACAAAGTAATATTTAATGGGTTATAGACCTTCGCAACTCTTTTGGGATGATGCATAGATGGGTGTATGTGTGGTACCTGGTGAGGAGTGCTGTAAAAGATAATTCAATCTCATTTTTCATCACGAGGATTCAAAAGACTGTACTCAACATTTAAAAATTAATGAGTGGCAAAATAAGCACATTAATTAGAAATAGGAAAGCAAATATCAAAAAGGAGCTACAATAATAGAAAGTAGCACAGGTGGACATAAACATGGAAGCAATACACACTGCAGACTTCTAGAGGGGATGGGGACATGGATTGACAAACTACCTCTTGGATATTATGCTCATACCTGGGTGATGGATCCATACCCCAAACCTCAGCATCATGCAATATTCCCGTGTAACAAGCCTACACATGGACCCTCTGTATCTAAAATAAAAGTTAAAAAACAAAAAGCAATACGTTGCCTTCAGAAAGAGAAAACCTGTGGCAATAAGGGAGAATGATGTGGTAGAGTGTTTTGTTTATTGTTGTTTTTCGATAAAATATGACTTGTACAAGTAGCTGACTTTAAAATATGTTCATGTGTAACTTTGATTTTAAAATGGAAAATAAATTGAAAGCATGTATATACAAAGATGCTCATCACAGTTGTTTATAAAATCAAAACATTAACACCATCTAAATATCCATGTTCACAGAATGAATCGCTAAATTACTATATGCTACATAATGAAATGTATTGCTAATTAAATAATCTTTAGAAAGGATTTTAGTAGACACATGCTTATGATAAGTTAACAGCGGGCTTCAAAACTGTATAATCAGCATCATCTTGAATTTATGGTAAGAGAGAAACATATAAATCATGGAATATCTAGAAGTAGAAATGGTAAAGTATAAGTGAGTATTTTTTCTGCTGCTTTTCATTTGCGTATGTGTGCTTTCCAAAACTGTTAAAATAAATACATACGGGGGAGGAAAGGAGGAAGAGCAGAAGAAGGTAGAAAAGAAAGGAGAAAGGGGAGAGAAGGAGTGGGATGGCAGCACAGGTTGGGAGGAGGATGTCATGGAAGGCACCACAGCCCCAGGGCAGGAACAGGTCCCTGTTGGTCCCAGCTATAAATGCTTCTTTCTATACCTAATTGTCAACTATACAGAAAGTTGTTGATAGAAATTTGTGCCTTGGACTGTCTTCATACTGTATAATTACACATATCCTTCGCATTCCCTCTTCTACCTTCTAATTTCTAATTCTAAGTACAATTTGCAAATAATAAAATGAACTTGTGTAAGTTAACACTTTGATGAGTTTGGATAAATGTTTTGACCTCTGCAAGCATCATGCCAATGAAGATACAGAGCATTTCCATCAACCCCAGAGAGTTCCCTTGTGCCCCTTTTCAGTCCATCCAATGCTTCCCTAGGAAATCTCTGCTGGTAGCATCTATCATCTTAATTTATCTCTGTCTGTTACAGAATTTCATATAAATGGAAATGCATATGAAAGTGAAGCAAAGAGAACTAACATTTACTGAGTGTCTATGTTTTGCCAGGCACTTCAGTAAGCACTTATAGAACATTATCTCGATTAGTGGTATTATCAACATTATAAAGTAGCTATTTGAATTCCATTACAGGAGCAAGAAAACTAAGATTTTGCCATGGTCACTTGGCCAGTTGATGACAGAAGCAAGATTGGAATCCATGTCTGGCCTAAATCCAAAACCACAGTACTTTCTCATATTTCAGGTAGCCACTTGTGAAAGATACCAGAATGACATTCCATTAGGAACCAAGGAAATAGATACAGAAGATTCTCCACTATTATTAACCTACAAAATCATTAGTTCTCTTTCAGTCGATTAAGTTGTTATAGTTTTCTTCATTTTTTCTTCTAAGTAGACTGGCTCATTTCTGGTCCTTGAGCTAAATTTCAAATGATAAAACACACCAAAACTCACTCTCTTTTTTTTTTTTTGAGACGGAGTCTCGCTCAGTCACCCAGGCTGGAGTGCAGTGGCGCTATCTCAGCTCACTGCAAGCTCCGCCTCCCGGGTTCAGGCCATTCTCCTGCCTCAGCTTCCCGAGTAGCTGGGACTACAGGCACCCGCCACCACGCCCAGCTAAGTTTTTTTGTTTTGTTTTGTTTTGTTTTTGGTATTTTTTTTAGTAGAGACGGAGTTTCACCGTGTTAGCCAGGATGGTCTCGATCTCCTGACCTCATGATCGGCCTGCCTCGGCCTCCCAAAGTGCTGGGATTACAGAAGTGAGCCACCAAAACTCACTCTCTTATAAACTGATGCTATGAATATTCCCAGAGACAGGTGTCAGTAAACTCAATTACAAGAGAAAATATAGCTTTAATATATTTCCAATGGAATTTAAAACTAAATATATTTATCCTACAGCAAATGTATTGGATGACAACCTGCACATTTTCTTTTAATTACTTTCTTCCCCATTTGTGTGCACATCTACCTTTGAAACTAATTATTGCAGGATTCCCTTGACAGAATTTTTCCTTCCCATGGAGTGAATAATCTCTGTCAGCTGTAAATAATAATACAAAGACAGCACAAGCATTTTACATTGCATAATAGAGTTAAGGTGGTTTGTACTAATGTAAAAGAAACAAGGAAGATAAGCCCAAACAATCATGGGAGTTCAGTGTGTTCAAGTAAAGTTCTCTTCTGTCAGTCTAACAAAATGAGTTATTCTTTTCTTTTCTCTTGCTACATTTTATGGCACTGGGTACCGTGTTATTTGCAGCCAGACCTGTATTTACTAAAATGCATTTTGTCTTTTCAAGTAGGCTAAAACATGCAGCAGGAAAAGCAATTAGCATATTTATAAAATTACATCTATTTTGTCATACTCCAAAGGGCAAATTGTAAGGACAGTGTGCTGATTTTTACCAGCCCAGCATGTCTTTGGGTTCCTATCATTCTCCAGGTCCAGAAGTGAACACAAAACCTATCAGCTAGGTCACAGTTGTTGGTTAACGAGGGGTAGTGACCTCTCTCCCTAGGAGATTTGCAGGAAGTGTGAGGAAAACAAGCATTTACCTTTTAAAATGAAGGCATTGGAGAAATGTAAGCTTGGGGCTGCAATGAGCCCTCTTTGCTACCACGTGACAAGAGCTTACTAATGTTCAAAATCAATGAAGAAAAAGCAAAGCTGAGAGATAGAGAGTGAGATGTGTGCTGATATAATTTAAACTTTAGATTTATCCACCCCTACGTCAAGTTAGGTTTCTGTGTCTTGCGCAAAAATATTCCTAATATTCAAGGTAAATTTGTGGGACAAAACACCAAGTAGTTTGCCAGCATGAATTGATTTACAAGCATCAGAAATTTCAGGCAAATTGGGCAAGTAAATAGGCTTGAGGGGCCAGAAAAAGAAACCCTGATGCTCAGGCCACCTTCTACTAACACAATGTTTTCTGAAGATGGTTTTGTTGGGGTTGGACCTAATACCAAAGGACAGACAGAACAGAAGAGCAAATTCTACCTTGGTAAGAGACAACAGGTGGAAGATACACAGGTACATCCAGACACACATCTGTTCTACTTACTTGACTCTTAATCCTATACTGCCTGGGGACATTGTTTCTATTATATCTTGTGTGATCACACAGCTTTGTATGTGAACTTGCCTTGAATCCTCTACTACATTTTAAGCTCTGAAAGAAAGTACTGACCACGTGTAATGCTGTTTAAAATTCTTGACAATGCCGGGCACAGTATTTTATATGTAGTAGATTCTCAATAAATACTTAGTGAATAAATAGAGGAAAAAATCAAATGAAAAATCAAATAATATATAATGACAGGGGTCATTTGTGGACATCTATCCACACTTTGTTTAGAAAAAAAGCCACCAGCATATGGGTTTATATTTAATAACTCACTTTGGTGGTGGTGAGATTACTTTGTTAGAAACCCTCTAACTTTGTGTAATGGGAACCTTTGGAAATTTTTTTATAAAGCCCAAGATCCTCAATAATACCACATAATAATTTTTCCTTCTCTGATAATATACACTACATTCTCTGAGTCTCTTCCAAAATACAGGGTATATATCTGCCACATGTAGAAAAATGTGTTATTTACCAATTTCCTCTTTTAAAGTTTTCCCTATACATAGAAGTCATGTATGCCTGACTTGTGTGTTTCTACTAATGACTCAGACTAGGGAAATTTTTGCCCCATGGTAGTAAGGTATGAAGTATTGTGATAAAAATGTACTGTGGCCCATAATTTCTGTTCTGGGAGAAGAAATTAAAAAATGGTAAGAAGACTTCCCCACTCCATAAAATCCCACAGTGTTGTCCACAGATATGGTACAAAGAATTGTCAATCTTCTATCATCATTCTTATTATTGAGGAGCCATGCTAGTTTCAGAGCTCAGTTCCTGACAATTAGAAAATACCCTCTCCTGTAAGAGGGCATTACAATGCAGATCATCGTAATGATGTTCACTTGAACGTCTTTTGGTGCAACAGTAATTTGGTACTACATTTGCTAGAGAAAAAAAAAGTATTCCTAAAAAATGTCTACTTCATAGTGATTTGGAAAAATAAAATAATCAGAATTTGGTCCCGAAAAGGGACCCAGCTCCTAAAACAACCTGACTGAAGAAGACATGGATAAGATGGGTCATAGCATATTTTTGATAACTTTAAATAATGTAAGCTCATAAAATTTTAAAGCTAGAAAACTCTTAGAGATAATTTAGTTCAATGGTTTCCAAACCTGGCTGATAGAATAAATTACCCTAGACTGACTGAATCAGAATGTTCAGGGGTAGGGCCCAGGAAAACATACTAATTTTTAAGTCCTCAAATGCATTAGAGATCATCCAGATAGATAAGGAAATTAAAAAATCAAATGATTTGTGGAAAGTTGCATATCTTGTCAGCAGTTCTAGAACCTAAATGGCAAAGTCTCAGAATTGAAAAATATTACAGCAAGTCATCCTACCATAACTCTCTGAGAGTGGTTCTTAGAGTATGAAAGATTTTCCTAGAGAACTCAGATTTCAGCCTCTACCCAAAGGCTTTATCAAATGCTAAGTCTAAGGTGGAGCCCAGCAATATGCATTTTCAATGAGATTCTAGTTGATTCTGAAGGAGATGGAATACAGGGCACAATTTAGGTTGTTTGATTTCCTCTTACGATGCTCCTTCACTTTTGTTTAAACTCATTCCAATTATGTGAAGCTTAAAACCATTCAATTATCTTTCCTTTTTTTGTAGGTCTGCTAGGAACAGTCTGATTTTTTTTTTCCCAGAAATCTGCCCATGAAACTCTCCCCGATAGGATTTAATTTCACCTTCCTGGGCTACACTAAAAGCTTGCTACCAATGCAGCATGATAGCTTGTTGAGCATTTATAACCCTTCCAAGACTGCTTTCTCCAGAAGGGGTTGGGGGAGGATGAAGATTAAAAATTCCTCTAGTGCAGCTCTCTCTCCTTTCACTTTGTGACTTATGTCATTTATGGCCCTAAACCCCTCTATCACTAAAAAAAAAGACCCCAAAGACATCAGACTTGGCTGAACAAACGTGCAAATGCTTCCTCGACAGCAGCTTATCCTTGTGCTGGGCAGCCTCTCTGCTAGCCTGTCTTCTACGAGGAGACAGTGTGGTGATGTGGATTCATAGTACAGGCTCTGCAATTAGTCAGGCATGGATTTGTTGCACCCCTGTTCTTATCTACAGAGATGTTATTTACTTAACTTTTCTGCTCCTAAGTTTTATCAGCTAAAACATCAGTATGTATGAAGTACTGTGCTCAGCATTTAAAATCACTGACTGAAGCAGCATCCTACCTTCTTATGGCTTAGAGACATAAGCCTTATGCAAGCAGCTGGGTCTGGTTCTAAAACCAGAAGAGTCCTGCTGCACAGAAACAGCCAAACCTGTTGTTCAACAATTACTTTTTTTTCAATCACAGTCATTCCCTTGGACTAAGTCAAACGCAGAGTGGCTTCCTTACCCCTTACCCCAGGCCCCGCCCCCAGCATAAAGGGTGACAACACAGCTCAAGTGGGCACACCTGGAAAAGTGAGTCTAAGATGATCAAGTCTTTAGGTGTCTTGTTGCTCATGCCTCTTTTCTCTACTCCAGCTTAACTGATGCTTCTGTGTTGCTCCCTGTCTCTGCTAAGCAGCTTCTCTTTGTTGGCTGCCTTTCCCAACTAGCTCCCTCCTCTCTGTTTGTTGTTTGTTTAGAACAAAGTGTTTTCTTCCATAAAAGGGATAGAAGCAGACACACGTCTCAGGGATTACAGAGACAGGGGACTTATTTAAAGTTGAAAATCATTCAAGGGCATGTGCAAAATGCCCTGAAGTGTGGAGGGAAAACTAGAACCGCGATTAATTTTTCTAAAGAGTTTGAAGGTATTCGAGAGCACAGGCTCAGAATAAAGAAGGGAACAAGGGAATTTAGAGAAGTAAGAAGCTCTGAAGACTCAGAGTGAAAAAGACGCCAAAGATACTAGACTTGGCTGAACAGACGTGCAAACGCTGCCTCAACAGCAGCTTATCCTTCTGCTGGGGCAGCGTCTCTGCTAGCCTGTCTTTTACTAGGAGAGTGTGGTGATGTGGATTCATAGCACAGGCCCTGCAATTAGTCAGGCATAGATTTGTTGCATCCCTGTTCTTATCTACAGGGATGCTATTTACTTAACTTGTCTGCTCCTAAGTTTTATTGGCTAATGATAATTAATGCCTACTTATATTAGCATGGACAAGGTTCATGCTAGGTTGTGTGGCTGCAATCCCGAAAGCTCAGGGGCTGTACCCTACAAGTATATTTCTTGCTCAAGCTGCATGCCCCATTTGACAGGGGGTGCAGCTGTTCACAATCACTTTCCATTCTTTCAGCCAGAAGGACCAGGGCCTCTGTAATGCTACAGAGGAGGGGAGAGCCTAGAGAATCATTCAGGGCCTGCAGTGAAGTGTATCCCTTCCATAAATGTGTCATTGGCCAAAACTGGCTTGTGAGCTTGCAACCTCTTTCCACCACGGGGCTCACAAGTATAGGTTTCTTTGTGCCTGGAAAAAGTAGATAATGAGACGCTGACAAACAGTATCATTTACCACATGGATGCATGAGGCTGTTCTGAGGAGCAAGTGACAAAATGCCTGTAATGCAGTCAGTGCAGTGCCTGGCCTGGCATGAAAAATGTCTTCAAAAATAGCAGCTGTTATTACCCAATACCTCTGTCACCAACATTGGCCCTTGCCTAATGAGTTACTTAGATCTCATCATTCACCTAACACACGTGAAATATCTCATCCAGAGTCGGAACACATCCCTAAGAACACTGCATTCCAGGATCTGTCATTTTGTAGAAGAAGAAACACTAGACTAGAGGACAAGAAACAAGAGTCACGGATTCCAGCCTTTTACAGCTTAGAGCCTTGTGACACTTGGCAAGTCACTGAAAGCACCTGGACCAGTGTAAAAGGGCTCCCTACTTAAGGGAAAGAAGTGTGGTGAAGTAGAAAAGTAGTCACATGAATCCAGTTTCAACTCTGCAATTGATTGGAAATATTAGGTTGGTGCCAATGTAATTGCGGTTTTCAATAGAACCTTGGGAAAGTCATTTAGTCTTCTGCAGTTTGGTTTTCTCATCAAAGTGGTTTAGGTCAGATTACCTAAAGCCCCATAAGCTAAAAACATCAATTATTGCAAATAATGCCTGTTCAAGAATGGCCCTGTATTCATTGAAAATCGGAGTTTGCAATTACCTATCCAACCCTATAGCCCCAGGCCCTAGCCTCTATGTAGTTAAGCCATCCTAGAACCCTGAATAACTTAATTCATGTCATACTGGATGAGCAGTGGTGAAACAGGAACAGAAATGACTTCTAGGTGCTTCAGCAAGAGGGAGAATGTATTAGGGTTACACAGGACATATTATGAGTGCTCTTTGTGCTCCTCAACACAGGCTCCAATTTTAGCTCACTCCCAATCAAAAAAGGATCTCTCCTCTCTAAGAAAAGCAATATAACCTCTCAGGTTGTCGGAAGGCAACAGAAAAATGAAGAGAGGGAGAGAGCATTTAAATCAGAGTTCAGAGATGAGCAAGGTAAACACCAACAAGGGGAGGTAAAATTATCTCTCCATGTGGTAGGCAAAATAATAGGTCCCCAAAGATGTTCATGGCTCACGTGCAAATTCCCAGAACCTGTGAAACTGTTGTTAAATGAAGGAGAATTAAGGTTGTTGATAAAATTGAGGTTGATGCTCACTCTAACATAGTGTCTTGGATTATCCAGATGGCCCAATTTAATAAAATGGGTCCTTTAAAATGGAAGAGAAAGGCAGAAAAATCAGTGTCAGAGTGACATAGCATGAGGAAGACTTAGCCAGCCAGTGCTGACTTTAGATGGAAGAAGGTCACAATCCAAGGAATATGGGTAGCCTCTAGAAGCTGAACAAGAAAAGTGGACTCTCCTCTAACACATCCAGAAGGAACACAGCCCTGTTGACACCTTGATTGTAACCCAGCAAAACCTGGGCTATCATCAGATTTCTAAACTCCAAAACTGTAAGATAATAAACTTGTGTTCTTTTAAGCCACTAAGTTTGCAGTAAATTATTGTAGCAGCTATAGAAAATTAATGGACTCCATCATGAATAATTAGCAGCAGGCATTTAGCGGAGAAGGGAACAAATTTTCATAGACGTCAGTGAATAAGGATAGTACTGATAGGTAACTTGGAGCAAATAGAAGTGCAATAACTAAAAGTTTTCTGTAAACTATAATAAGTACTCTAAAAAAATGCACCAGTAATTCCAATGCAGGCTATGTAAAGACAAGAATGATATGGGCACTTTGTCTAGGGAAGCAGCTAATAGTTTAAATTCAGAACCATATTGAATATCATTTAAAGTTTTGCACATATTCTAAGACAGTAAAATCTCATGCAAAGAGCATAGGAGCTGAGACCACAATATTTAGTTCTGTCACCATTTGTTCTGTTGACCTTGGGCATAACAACTTGAAGCTTGGGCTTACTTATAAATAAAATGAAAGATTATAGTATCAACCTCATGAAGTTATGAGAATTAAGTAGGTTAATTTTATATAAGAACACAACACTATACCAAGTGTATCAATAAATGTCATCTATTTATATTATATATACTTTCTTAATAGAATTCTCATTCCAAATGTTGGCACTTTGAACACATTATTTTGTTGTTTTTGTAAAGACCCAATTAAACAATTGTTTCTGAGATGCTCTAATGTTGGAATTGGGTGGCTCCAATAGAAGAACCATAGTCAATATTCAGTTACCACACAGTAGGAAAAGCCAAGTAAGCATCGCTACTGGCAGAATTTAGTCTTAATGAGGGGTATTTCTGCCTGGGTGAGCCACATATTATAGCAGCATCTGGAACTAGTCTCTGTACCCAGCAGGTATCTATGGACACCAACAACTCCCACTCTTGCTGTAAGAGAGAAAAGAGTTGAAATCAACTGAAAGGAAGGTTTCAGAAACACCTGCGGTTCTTGGCATCACTAAGTCTAAAGAATCGCTAAATTACTTCCCTATGCAGCATCACAGATGTTAATAACTTGCACCTGTGCTTATGTGTGTCTGCTGGGGGTGTGGAGCTGCAGACAGGAACAGGAACATCAAAGGAAAAAGAGAGGCTCCTTCTCAGAAACATGGTCCCTTATAGACCATCACTCATATGGACCGCAGACCATCAATATAGTCATGTGGGGAACTATACTCTTCACCAAACTATGAGTTTCTCAACTGCAGAAAATTTATTCATTGTTGGGTCCCACGTAGTATATTTGTTGTTTGTCCCACAATAAATATGAACTCAATTAAGCTGAAATAATTAAATACTATAAAATACAAAGTTATGAGATTTGTGGCAGGATAATTTATTAAAATATGTGGTACTTTTACCACTGCAGAAGAATCAGAAAGAAATAGTTATATAACACACATCCTCAGGGAGAAGGATCATGAAATCCAGAGATCTCCTCAAGATAAGCAAGCTGTTCTGTTGTTAAAAGCCAAGGCTCGGCCAGGCGCAGTGCCTCATGCCTGTAATCCTAGCACTTTGGGAGGCTGAGATGCGCCCGTCTTGACCTTGATCACAAGGTCAAGAGATCAAGACCATCCTGGCCAACATGGTGAAACCCCGTCTCTACTAAAAATACAAAAATTAGCTAGGCATGGTGGCACACACCTGTAGTCCCAGCTACTTGGTAGGCTGAGGTAGAAGAATTGCTTGAACCTGGGAGGTGGAAGTTGCAGTGAGCCAAGATTGTGCCATTGCACTTCAGCCTGGAGACAGAGTGAGACTCTATCTCAAAAAAAAAAAAAAAAAAAAAAAAGCCAAGGATCACAAAAGCAAAAAGCTAAAGTCTGTGCATAGGGTGAGGGATACAACCCTGAGATGTCCAGCAACAAGGGAGTATCCTGAGCCAAGTGAAGAGGGTTGGGGATTTGGAGATTTATGGGAGCAGAATGGCCAAGAGACAGGACATTGTCCAGGTGGATTGTAGATTTTTGAAACCCTCCACATGAAGAGCCATGATGTTGAGAGCTGTGGTTTTGGGGCCATAGATAAAGCTCCTTGGTACAGCAGAATTGAGAAGATAGATCCACATCACCTAATCAGTGGATGTCTCAGTTGGAGCTCTGATGGATTAAAGATGGCCCTTCATTTTGGGGTACCATTGAAATCTCTAGATTTCTTGTGGAATTCTAGGAAGATATGATAGTGAAAGGAATGCAAAGAAAAGTATGCAAAGACTCATTTAATTTTGCTTGGAGAAACAAAAATATGCTTCTTGCCAATATAGTTGTAGGGTAGAATTCATACATGCTACATATGCATCATAAGAGATAGAAGGACTACACTAAAATATTAAAGCAATTCTCTCCGTGTGTTCTTATTATAAGTAATATCCTATTTTTCCTTATAGTTATATATACATATGTGTTTTTTAAAGCTATCTTTAAAAATAAAAGTACAAAATGCTCACCTTCCTACCCATGACTTACCAGATGGTGCAATGATTTTTCCTGGGAACAAGTGGCCCCACTCTTCTTTTGAACAAAGTCACAAACTTTGTGACTGGTTTTGACTTCTGAGAAACCGGAGAAGCTATCATGTACAAAGGCACACTCATCCTTGAAAACCTCTCACGAGTGGTTTGTTCCAGCACACATAATGATTTTGTTGGATGTTAAAAGAATGTAACATTCTCCAAGAAACAAACAAACAAACAAACAAAACCAACTCTGGCAACATCAAGTCACTGAAGTGACTGAAATTAGAAACATCTTTGTGAATTTCTACATGAAATATTTTGCTGTTTTTATTTAATATTTACCATTTCCAATATTCTTTATGTAAATCCAGATTTCCATCTGGTAATATTTTCCTTCTGCCCAAAAAACTTTCTACAAGAAGAACATTCCCCTACATACTCAGTAAAATCATCGAAATCATAAAATTAATCCTAATATGCTACTAGCATCTAATCCTTCAAAACAGTTGCTCCAGTTAATTCCTTTACAGCAAAAGGGTGCAGTTGCAGAATCAGGCATTGCATTTTGTTCCCAAAGCTTTTTCATCTTTTTCAGTCTGAAACAGTTCCTCAAGCTTTCCTTGTCTTTGACACTTTTGAAAATAATAGGCCAGTTTTTTTATTTAATTGTGGTAAAGAAAATATATAACCTTCAATTTGGCATATGGTAAAGTATTTTAAATAAGTCTACAAATTTCCTAAACCAAGATCTCCTTGATTTGAGGTATCATGTCTTATTTCTGTATCCCTTAAACCTAACAAAGTGCCTGGAATATGATGAGTTTTTAGTAAATATTTGTTGAATGAATAAATGATATAAACCCATTTCATAGGTGGAAATTGATAAAGGGGTGTTAGCTTAAGACAATTGTTCTTTTTTTTCTAGATTTGTTCCCTTATTTATCCCTCAGAAAATGCTCTTTGACCATTTGCTTCTCTGCTGCCTTTGTCAATAAGACATGGTTCTTAACCTGCAGAGACAGCTATAGGGAAACCATGACAGTGGAATGACTAAGAGCTATAAGATATGCATGGGAGAGCTTACAACTAAATAAATTGCTGTCCAGCCCAGAAAAGGGAGTGATTCATTCTACCTAAAAAAATCAGGAATAATGTCCCAGCGGAGGTAGCAATTGATATGACTCTTGAGAGATGAATAAGTTTTTGAAATCAGTGGGGAGGACAGAGAGTTTGAAAAGCACTTTCTGCATTATCTAGCACAATCCTGTGCCTTCCATTCTAACTCAATATTATTGGCTGATGAATAAGACTGAAATGACTAACCAGTAACTTGATTGAAAGTGAATCCCAATTCTTGTTTATTCTATCCTGATTCAGTTAATTTGGCGCCCTCTGCAGATCTCTCTCTGCAAAAGGATATATTTCATGAGGTCACATCCTCACAAAGCATAAAAGCTGACTCACATGCTTTGTCCTAACATCTGTGGCTTTATTTAATTTCACTGTAATGTTCCAAACTGAGATTTCTTTGTAATAATCAGATAGTCTGTAACAATACTTGGATAGACTTGTTGCCTTAAGAGGAGGTTTGATTTTATTTTATTGATTTTCTTATAATGCTTGTAATTGTTCCAGTTTGTTGGAGCTTTTTTCTTACCTCGCTTTTATATTTTCTAATTGCTTTCTATCTCGCAAAAAAATATGTCTGTGGCTTGTTGATCTTTTCCTTCATTAAGAATGTATGTTGCAAGATAGGCTTGGCATAGAAAGGCAAAACTCTATTATCGAAAATTTTATTATGCCCTCTGATATATGTTTCTCTTTCATAAGAATGCAACAAAATGCCTTTGTCCTTCACTTCATGAATAACTGTACCCTTCGGAAGAGGAAAAAAATAATCTGTTGTGTTCAACACTTTCATTCAAATGTTGTGTTATTAGTGTTTGGGAAAAAACACATTTTAACTCGGTTATTTGATCGCCTTTGTCCTTTTTAGTACCTCTGCATTATCTCTGTTTTAAGAAATGAAATGAGAAGCCATTCAAGGTCAGTGCAGAAACCATGAGGAGGAGCATCCCTCTCTAGACATGCATCAATTCAGCAAACATTTATTGAACACAAAGAAATTGGCAAGTAGGTTGACAATTACTGGAAATAAATACAAAACAAAATCTAGGGTTCCTAATGCTAACGCTGAGCAAAATTGCAGAGGGGAATGAGGCTCATCAAACCCTTCAGTTGTGATGCTGCACAGCAATTAGGTTCCCATCAGGGGCTCTGGAATCACACAAGAATGGCCTCTACTCCCAGTTTTGCTATAAGGTGAGTGACCCAGGGCAAATTACCTGCCCTATTTGAGTCTCACTTCTCCTATCTATAAGTTTTCGGTAATACCAATACTTGCTTCAAGACTTTTCTGAAGATTTGATGAAGTACTGTATGCAAAGTGCTAACTAGAGTTACAGGAACATAGTAAGTGCTCAGCAAATTTTAGCTCTGGATATGCAGTGATTCTGCCTCAATTACATTAGCCTACTAATCCAAAAACATAAAAGGTACCCAGTAAATGCTTGTTGAATTAATTCAGTCCAAGTATTCCACCCACCATGTCAATGCACTATCAGACATCAAATTGGACTTTCCCAGTTTTAATCAGGGAGTTCAAAACAGTGCTTGGCAGTAGGTGGGTGGGGTCGTCAATTCATAGCTTGCACTTTGCAGTCTGAATCTCTCACATTTACACCAACCTCAAATTATTTCTATTCATATAAAGTTAAGATGGTGATTAGCAAGCAGTTTACAAATGAGCTGATATTCCACAATTCAAATTTCTGGTTGAAAAAAAAGTGTAACATGGATGATGAATCCGAATATAGCTGTCAATGAAAAGAAATGCATCTTCCACTACTTAGGCCCAGTTTCAGTCCTTGCCCTTCCAGAATAATGAACAAACCTTTAGAGTTATAATACAAAATCTACAAAAGATGCTTATCTACAAAGGGTCTTCTACACAACTTTGTACATCTCTCCATGATGTAAAGAAATGTACAAGTAATCGTAGTTCCAACAGAAGGAAGACTCCTATAAATCTATAATGAAGATTTCACAAAAAATAGTTAACACCTTAAAAGTTATCATTTGAAAAGTAAGTTAATAGTCTTGCAGGAGGAGAATACCCAGTTCCAAAAAGTAATCAGTAGCTAATTACTGAGCCCCATCTGTGCATTTAGCATTTTCCAAAAGACTAAATGTAACCTTGAAAATTCTCTGTCCATATTAGTAATAACCAGACAGGTACCAGGTAGAAAGAGTAGAATAAACCAAACTCTGCTAAACGAATAAACCAAACAAAAATACCAAAAATATAGCTAATGCTACATAGCAATAAGGCTTCAACATAAGACATAGAGAAGTGTTGGAAGCAAAATCTTTAGGGAAGTCTAGAATAAATTTGTTTAAGGAAAAATGCTTAAAGCATGAGGCAGATTCTGTCAAAAATATCATGATAAAAATTTAAGTACTGACTGTGGTTTATGGAATTCTCCTTTTTTGAAGGTTGATATTTACCATCATCCTGATAAATGCCTCTTTATAGTCAATTCATTCCTTGTTGGCCCATATCTCCCACCTCTAGTATTTATTGCATAAAGGAATGTTTCTCTGACTACTCACAGATAAATCTTCTCATTGATGGAGGGTTTTCTCACTACCTATTATGTGCCTATCTAGCCTCAGCCAACAATTTATTACCAGTTTAGAAAGAAGGCAATGAGGTAAAAGACTGAATTGTTTTTATGGCTGTGTCTATATTTCTTAAAGAGTAAGAACCTTTACAAGAGAAATTCATCCTGGAACCACATGAACCACCATTCATTTGGAGAAAAAGGAAATTGTTATAAAATATTGAAAACAGAATCAAATTCTATGAGGCTGTCATTCTGTTTTACTACCAGGAACTATTTTAATCCCCACTCAGTTACTTTCTGACTCTTAACTAGAGTAATGCTGTGAGCCTGCAGATGTGGGTTCCTTTGAACACCACAAATAGTGGCTGGAATCAACACATGCCATTAGAATACAGGGCCCTGGCACCGTTCTCATTCACTGGAAGCTCCTCTCCAATCAGTATTACATTCAGTGATGTCTGAATTTTTATTTGACTTGAAGTACAATATAGTAGTGTAGTGGTAAGAATAACAGAAGAAGAGTCAGAAAACCTCAATTTTAGTCCCAAACATACAAAGTCACATACATTATTAACTCGGACAAGTCATTTAACATCTCTGTGCCTCATTTTCTCAACATGTATAATGAGAGTTTGGATTAAATGGCCTCTAAGATCTCTTTGTTAGGTTCTATATTATTTGAGGCTGTATTTATAAACCAATACATACCGGTAGGTATCAGCCTGCCTTTGCAACACCACATCCACTATCAAGCACCACATTTTAAGTATTGCCTGCACATGCACTTTGACAAGCAGTCTTGAAAGCAAGATATATAGATTGAGACACACCTATTTGGAAACATTAAAGTTTTAACTGTAACAAAATGTGGTGATATGGTTTGGCTGTCTCCCTGCCCAAATCTCAACTTGAATTGTATCTTCCAGGATTCCCACATGCTGTGGGAGGGACCCAGGGGGAGGTAATTGAATCACTGAGGCCGGTTTCCACTTTTGCTTCTTCCTCATTTTCTCTTGCTGCTGCCGCCATGCAAGAAGTGTCTTTAGCCCTCCACCATGATTCTGAGGCCTCCCCAGCCATGTAGAACTGTAAGTCCAATTAAACCTCCTTTGCTTCCCAGTCTCGGGTAGGCCTTTATAAGTGGCGTGAAAACAGACTAATAAAGTAAATTGGTACTAGTAGAGTGGGGCATTGCTGAAAAGATACCTGAAAATGTGGAAGCAACTTCGGTACTGGGTAACGGGCAGAGACTGGAACAGTTTGAAGGGCTCAGAAGAAGATAGGAAAATACGAGAAAGTTTGGAACTTCCTAGAGAGGCTTTGCCCAAAATGCTGATAGTGATATGGACAGTAAAATCCAGGCTGAGGTGGTCTCATATGGCGATGAGGAACTTGTAGGAACTGGAGCAAAGATGACTCTTGTGTTTTAGCAAAGATCCTGGCGGCATTTTGCCCCTGAACTAGAGATTTGTGGAACCTTGAACTTGAGGGAGATGATTTAGGGTATCTGGCGGAAAAAATTTCTAAGCAGCAAAGCATTCAAAAGGTGACTTGGGTGCTGTTAAAAGCATTCAATTTTAAAAGGGAAACAGAGCATAAAAGTTCAGAAAATTTGCAGCCTGACCATTCAGTAGAAAAGACAAACCCATTTTCTGGGGAGAAATTCAAGCCAGCTGCAGAAATTTGCATAAGTAGCAAGCAGCCTGATTTTAATCCCCAAGACCCTGGGGCAAATGCCTCCAGGCCATGTCAGAGACCTTCATGGCAGCGCTTCCCATCACAAATTCAGAGGACCAGAAGGAAAAAGTTGTTTCATGGGCCAGGCCGGGGTTGTCGCGCTGTGTGCAGCCTAGGGAATTGGTGCTATGTCCCAGCCTCTTCAGCCATGGCTGAAAGGAGCCAACGTAACAGCTTGGCTGTGGTTTCAGAGGGTGGAAGCCCCAGGCCTTGGCAGCTTCCATGTGGTATTGGGCCTGCGGGTGCACGGAAGTCAAGAATTGGGGTTTGGGAACCTCTGCCTAGATTTTAGAAGATGTACTGAAATGCCTGGCTGCCCAGGCAAAAGTCTGCTGCAGGGTGTGGGGGGTGTTGCAGGGAGGGGGTGATCATGAAGAACCTCTGTTGGGGAGTGTGGAGGAGAAATGTAGGGTTGGAGCCCCCACACGGTGTCCCTACTGGAGCACTGCCTAGTAGAGCTGTGAGAAGAGGGCCACCATCCTCCAGACCCCAGAATTGTAGATCCACCGACGGCTTGCATCATATGCCTGGAAAAGCCTCAGACACTCAATGCCAGCCTCTGAAAGCAGCCCGGAGGGAGGCTGTACCCTGCAAAGTCACAGGGGCGGAGCTGCCCAAGACCATGGGAACCCACCTCTTGCATTGCGTGACCTGGCTGTGAGACCTGGAATCAAAGGCAATCATTGTGGAGCTTTAAAATTTGACTGCCCTTCTGGATTTTGGATTGTGTGGGCTCTGTAACCCCTTTGTTTTAGCCAATTTTTCCCATTAGGAACAGCTGTATTTACCCAATACCTGTATCGCCATTGCATCTAGTAAGTAACTAGCTTGCTTTTGATTTTGCAGGCTCATAAGCAGAAGGGACTTGCCTTGTCTCAGATGAGATTTTGGACTGTGGACTTTTGGGTTAATTCTGAAATGAGTTAAAACTTTGGGGGACTGTTGGGAAGGCATGATTGGTTTTGAAATGTGAGGACATGAGATTTGGAGGGGTTGGGGGAGGAATGATATGGTTTGGCTGTGCCCCCACCCAAATCTCAACTTGAATTGTATCTCCCAGGGTTCCCACATGTTGTGGGAGGGACTCAGAGGGAGGTGATTGAATCATGGGGGCCGGTCTTTCCTGTACCATTCTCATGATAGTGAGTAAGTCTCAGGAGATCTGATGGGCTTACCAGGGGTTTCCACTTTTGCTTCTGCCTCATTTTCTTTTGCTCCTGCCACCATGTAAAAAATGCCTTTAGGCAGGGTGCTGTGGTTCATGCCTGTAATCCCAGCACTTTGGGAGGCCAAGTGGGCGGATACCTGAGGTCAGGAGTTTGAGACCAGCCTGGCCAGCATGGCGAAACCCCGTTTCTACTAAAAATACAGAAAATTGCTGGGCATGGTGGTGGGTGCCTGTAATCCCAGCTACGTGGGAGGCTGAGGCAGGAGAATTGCTTGATTTCAGGAGGCAGAGGTTGCAGTGAGCCAAGATTGCACCACTGCACTCCAGCCTAGACAACAGAGCAAGACTCTGTCTCAAAAACAAAAAGAAATAAAAAATGCCTTTAACTCTCCACCATGATTCTGAGGCCTCCCCTCAGAATTCTGAGGTACTGTAAGTCCAATTAAACCTCCTTTTCTTCCCAATCTCAGATATGCCTTTATCAGTAGTATGAAAACAGACTAATACATGTGGCTTCACAAAACAGACTAATTAATACATGTGGCTTCACAAAACAGACTAATACATGTGGCTTCACAAAACAGACTAATTAATACATGTGGCTTCACAAAACAGACTAATACATGTGGCTTCACAAATAGCCTTTTAAATTCAAATGAGTAATTACTAATGAATTATTCTCCAATTGCTGGAAAAATGATCAGGCTTTTGGCATAAATCAATAAATTTCTCCCCTCTTCCCATCTACAGTATAAATGTTAATATGTAGCCACCATCCTGCATCTCAATGTACAGTTTCTAAGGTTGTCAGCATTGTCAAGCCACAAGTAAGCAGACTTCAGTATCAGGTAGATTTTGTGACCCCTCCCAAAAAAAAAATCAACAGAGAGAGACAATCCTATCAATAAACATGTTTACCCTTGACTCAAAAAAAAAAAAAAAAAAAAAAAAGAAAAGAAAAGCAAGAAATGGCAATATAAGACAAAGCAAGGAAAAGGAATGTGTAATTTTCCCTGTTGTTCTGACTTTCATAATCTCTGATCCTTTTGGTTTTCTGAGGGATCCATACACAGGTGTTAGATGATTTTTTTCGGCACTAGAGGATTGTGGTTCATTGTGACTAGATATTCCTACAATAAGACATGTGGCCCAAACGTAAGCCCTGAAGAAGAGGCAGAGTGTCTGACAAATAACTTGCTCTTTAGGGAAGAGGCAGGTCGTGTGTACATAGCACCATGGGGATGTCCATTAGCGTCATTAGACACACTTCCATAAGTTTAAGTAGTAGGATATCATAGCTGTAGTATTTCCTGATATACTGAGATTTGTAAGAAGGCATATGAAGGACACTGGGTCCTCTGGCCCTACGGTAGAAAATAATTTTACCAATTTAAAAGTATTAGCTTTACTAATGTGTGATTTGAAGCCTTAAAACTGACAATTTTTAAATATCCAGCTTAATGAGTATTGACAAATGTATACCATCGTGTAAACACAATCAAGTTTTAGAACACTTCCATTACCCTAAAAGTTTCCCTCATGCCTCTTTACAGACAATCTCCACCTTCCACGCTCCAAAAAACAATGATCTGCTGTCACAATGGTTTTACCTTTTTTTTAGAATTTCTGATAAGTGGAATCATCATATGATACTCAGTATTTATGTCAGTCTTCTTTCACTTAGCATGTTTTTGAGATTAATCTATTTTACATAAAAATTAATATTTTGATCTCTTATTACTCAGAAAAATTCCACAGTATGTATATGCCAAAAGTTTTTATGAATTTACCAGTTGAGGGGTATTTTGGCTCTTTCCAATTTGGGACTCTTATGAATAATGCTGCTATCAACACTCTTGTCAAACTCTTCATGTAAACATATGTTTTCATTTCTCATGGGTAAGCATTACAGGAGGAGTAGCTGGGTCATTTGGTAAGGGCACTTTTAACTTTGTAGGAAATTGTCAAACTGCTTTCCAGAATGATGTTTTATATTCCCACCAGTAGTATATGAATGTTCCAATTGTTCCACATCCTTGTGCCAATACTTGTAATTTTCAGTCTCCTTAATTTTAGTTTTTCCAGTGGATATGTAATGGCAGCTCACTGTGGTTTTAATTTTTATTTTGTTAGACCAGTGATGTTGAGCATCTTTTCATGTACTGCTTGCTATTTGTATTTTGTGTGTGTGTGTGTGTGTGTGTGTGTGTGTAAATTATCTGTTCAAGTCTTTTGACCATTTAAAAAATTGAGCTATATGAATTATTATTGAACTGTAGGATTTTTATTTATACTCTTCATCAAATTTCTTGGTCAGATATTTTTGCAAGTGCTTTCTCCAAATCTGTGGCTTACTTTTTTATTTTTCTTAACAGTATCTTCCAATTAGCAAGACTTTTAATTTTGGTGAAGTCCATTTCTTCTTTTTTTCTGTCGTAATATGTGCTTTTAGTGTCCAAACTAAGAAACCTTTGTCTCATTCAAGATAACAATGATTTTATCCTGTTTTCTTCTTGAATTGTTACCATTTGATCTTTTATATTTTATCTAAACTTTTTAAATTGACAAATAAAAGTTGTATATATTTACCATGTACAACATGTTTTTGAAATAGGCATACATTGTGAAATGGCTAATTGGAGCCAATTAACATGCATTATATCATGTATTTATATTTTTGTAGTGAAAACACTTAATATCTACTCTGTTAGCAATTTTCAAGAATACAATAACATTGTTCTTAACCATAGTCACCGTGTTGCACAACAGGTTTCTTTCTAAAAGGAATACTTTTATTTAACTGAAATTGTATATGATTCATTTTAACCAATTTTTCTGTAAATTGTGATAAAAGGGTCAAGGTTCTTCGTTTTCCATGTGGATATCCAATTATCTCACTATTTATTAAATTATTATCATTTTCACACTGAATCACTTCTATACCTGTAATTAAGAGATTGACCCCAGTTTTGATGTTTAAATGATGACAGCTTTCAAAACTCACCTTCCTGTTCCCCTCCTGTCCCACATCTTAGCAGATGCCAGTGGGAAACTCAAACCTCAAAAAGCCCTACGCTGCATGTGGAAACTTTTCCCCAGTGCCATCCCCTAGCCAGTGTAAAGTCTCACCCTACTCTCTCAACTTCACTCAAGCCAGTGTAGACCTGCTTGTGCCTGACCTGCTCTCCTCAGGAGTGCTTTGTGCCTAATACATTTTCTCCCAAATTATCTTGGTGTGTGAAGTGTCATCATCTTTGACATCCTACCTGTTAATTGGGAAGGGGCCCATCCACTTCCAGAAAAAGACTATGGAACATCTTTGTCAGAAACCAGTTGACCGTGTAAATACAGCTCTATTTTGGGATTCTCAATTGTGCTTCACTGATTTGTGAATCTGTTCTGTCAAAACCATGTGGTCTTGATTACTGTATCTTTATAATTACTTTTAAAATCACATAGTATAAGGCCTCCAACTTTCTTGGTTTATTTCAAAGCTGTTTTGCATATTCTGGATCATTTGCAATTCCATATACATTTTAGGATCAATTTGTCAGATTATAAAGAAAATTCTGCTAGAATTGTGATGTAGATTGTATTAAATTTAGAGAACAATTTTGAAGAAGTCGTTATCTTAATCATATTGAGTTTCTCAACCTGAGAGTATTACATAACTCTCATCTATTTAGATATTTAATTTGTCTCAGCTGTATCTTAAAGTTTAAAGTGTGAAGACATTACACATCAAAATTTATATCTAGGCTGGGCACAGTGGCTCACTCCTGTAATCCCAGCACTTTGGGGGGCCAAGGCAGGCAGTTTGAGACTGGCCTGGCCAACATGATGAAACTCCATCTCTACTAAAAATATAAAAATTAGGCAAGCATGGTAGTGGACACCTGTAACCCCAGCTACTCAGGAGGCTGAGGCAGGAATTGTTGGAACCTGGGAGGTGGAGGCTGCAGTGAGCCAGGATCAAGCCATTACACTCCAGCCTGGGCAACAAGAGTGAGATTACATCTCAAAAAAAAGAAAAAAATATATATCTAAGTCTTCTGTATTTAATTTCATTTCAAGTTTTTAGTTGTAGCATATATACATACAACCAATTTTTGCATATTGATCTTTTACTCTGTGATCTTGATAAGTCCATTTATCAGTTCCAGTATCATTAGTGTATCCCCTAGGGTTTTCTATATATTTGACCCTGTCATCTATAAACAAAGACAGATTTACCTCTTCCTTTCTAGTATGCATGCCTTTTTAAAAATCTTTGTCTTACCTATGGAACTGGCAAGATTTCCCAGGACAGTGTTCAATACAAGCAGTGCAAGTGAATATTTTATCTTGTTCTTAATACTACACAGGAAGCGTTCAGTCTTACATCCTTAGATTTATTGTATTCTTTACCCTAATTATTTACCCTTCCCTCTATCTACAAACATTCTTATATAGTCTTATGGGCCAGGTACAGTAGATCATAGCTATAATTCCAGAGACTCGGGAGGCTGAGGGTAGAGGAACACTTGAAGCCAGAAGTTTGAGAGCAGCCTGGGCAACATAATGAGGCCCAGTCTCTAAATTTTTTTTTTTAATTAGCGAGGCATTATTATGCATACCTATAGTCTTAGCTACTTGGGAGGCTGAGGCAGGAGCATCACTTGAGCCACGAGCTAGAGACTGCAGTGAGCTATACTCACATCACCGCGCTCCAGCTTAGGTAACAGAGACAGACCCCAGCTCTAAAAATAATAACACTGATGATGAAAAATGTAACTAGTGGTGTCCTATCACTCTGACTCTGAACTTGGCCATATAATGTAGCTTGGCCAAACATGAATTACATATTTTATTAGATATAATTTAAGAAAAGGTTGGAAAAAGTGCTTGTGCATTTCCACTTGCTCCCTTGTCCTCTGCCATTTTCATAAAAACATCTCTGGGCTAGCCTGCAAGAAAATGTGGAACAGAGTCAAGTTGTCCCAGTCATCCTAGCCAAGTCTATCATCCAGTGACCTTCAGACATGAGAAAGCCCAGCCAAAAACAGCAAAACCACCCAGTGAAGCCTCATCTGACTTCAGGTACATAAGCAAGCCCAGCTGAGATTACCTGAGCCAGGTCAGAGCAGCTGAAGCTCGCAAGCACATTTATTGCTCTATGCCACTGAAATTTTATGATTGTTTGTTATGCAGCATTATTATGGCACTAGATAACTAATGCAGTAGATTAGAAGCAGCCTGTATAAACCCTGTCGTGTTCAATCCAAAAATACTAATTAGTTATCTGAAATTCTTCCATACTTCCAAGGCATTAAACACAACCCTGTTCTTTTTTGACTGTTTTCAAAGGGAAAGCCAAGAGCTATTAACATGTCATTTTAAAGGAATTTCTCATGCTCAGAAGCTACCTGCGATATTATTTAGATTATCCGTGGAAACACATTTATATGTATTGGAGAGTGGGTGGTTGAGGACACCCAGGATATGATAATACCAAATAAACTGAACCTATTTTTATATGCCAAGAGTGCTTGTCACCTGTCACATCTCTTTTTCCAGCTTCAAAAGCTGTCTCTCTTCTCTGTGCTCTACCATGAGAAGAGTGTTGGCAATGGAAATGCAACACTCCTCTTGTGATTCCAATTTCACAGTTGAATAAGGAACATGCATGAGCAGAGAGCAGGCTAAGAAAGGCATGACAAACATGGCAGATAGGAGAGCCCCGTCACCTATTCTGCATCCCTCTTTCTTCCCATGCTCCTTTCACTTTGTACAAGAAAAAAATCAAAAGCAGGCTTCAGGTCCTGATGAGGTACCAACTACAGCCTTTCACTTCCCCAAACAACTAGATTCCAATCAAGCAGAAACATAGGGCTGGTGCCTCTCTATTTATCTCTGATTGTGTTTCTGCTTTAAGGTTTATTTAAAGAATAAGCTTCTCTTTTAACTCTGTGCAACTGAAGGAGAAAAGGAAGAGAGGACAGTGAAAGTGACATCTGTTGGCTAGCAGTAATTAAGCAGAGATGTGTGTAGATTCAGGGCTCTAAATGGTCCCGTTAAAGTGTTGATGAGCAGTGAAACATCTGATTAAATTTTAAACAGGGATAAATGGGCCAGTCCCACCATAAGATGAAGCTAATGGAGTTGTAGACTGAGCAAATTAAATGAACAATGTGTCAGGGCTAGTGAAGAGACAAGCTGGCACAAATATGCCTCTTCCAGAGTCTAAACATAGCTTTCTCTATGTGATCACGAAGAAGAGAGATCTTCTTCAAGAACCCCCTGAGTTTCATAGTAGGTCACTACAGTGGAAAATGCATCAATTTAGATAATAGAATATTAGAGTTTCAGTTCCAGCTCTGATACTATCCAAATGACCTAAAGCAAATCACATCACTCCTTTGGGCCTCAATTTTCTCAGGCATGAGACAGGGAGTTAGTTTACAGATAGTCTTAAAGACCTAAGAAGCTATTATTTATTTTTTAAAATTATTTAAATAAAGGTAAAAAAAAAAGTCATATCTATGACAAATCCAGAAATGGTTGACATAGGGATCCACAGAGTATGCACTGCAAAGCTTTAGGTATCATAGAGATAACTGAATAGATGAGGTGAAGGCCCGTTTGTCTTGGCTTCAGGACTCTATTCTATCAGGAACCCCAGCAGGTTTTTACTCATCTGTTCTAAGTTTGGGATTCCATGCACTTTTTTTTTTTTGTAACAGTCAAAGATCATGATAGTAAACAAATTTAAAATCACTAGGTTAATTTTTCCTGACCTTTTATTTTCACAAATTCAAGAGGAATAGGCAAATTTGAAGAGAACACAGGGGTGAGAAGAAAGGAATTGAATAGTGAATGGTACACTGGTGCAACCTTACAAAACAACCCGTTTTCTGTATTCATTGGGTCAGGAAGACCAGAGATAGAGTGCCTCAGAGTTCTTAATGACAAGACTTCAAAATTTGCAAGGGCACATGAGAGGTCCCTTTATTATAGGGTAGAAGGATTATAGGGTAGAAGGAATTGTGGATTCTTCTTTCACCTCTTAGTTGTGAGAAAACACTCACATGTCTATGAGTTCATTAGGGTAGAATTTGTAAAGAAAAAAACAAAACTTGAATTTTCAAATTTCAGAAACTACCTTCCCATAAAATAAAGCTTTTGGTCTGAAAGCAGAGCCTTACCAGAAGTCATAGGTTAGAGATATGGAGGATATGATGTGAACAATTTTTTATCTCACTACCTGACAAAAAATAGAAGATAAATCCAGTCTAGCAGGTTCTGGACAGGAACGCGACAGCAGTAAGGAAGCAGGGGAAGTGGTGAGACACATGTGCCCTAGCTTTCCATTCTGGGTCAAAGCCATGGGTAGATAATGCTGTTTAAAATAACCATAAGGTTTGCACTAAGAGCAGAACAGTACAGCTCATTGCTTTATTTTCTGGCCATGGACTGGGAAAAATTCAGTTTCCTTTGAAGAAATACCATGTGCAGTAAGACACTATTCCAAGTGTTAGGCTAAAAAATAGCTAAGAGGTAATTCTAAGAGAAATAATTAAAGATAGTACCACTAGCCTCCCTCAGCATCCACAGGCATAGATGGTATCTAGAAATTCCTAGGTACTTTCAGTGGAGGAAACAGAAGGTAGCTGAGTGAACAGTCTAGAGGCCTCTCATGTGGCTGCCTCACGAATTCATGAAGTATCCCCATAGTAGAAGTTGAAGTGTGACATCTCTATCCATGGACAGAATACAAGATTCTGCCCAGATCTAGACTATCTGCTATGCCAGCCAGAGCTAGTGGTTGAGGGAGCATTATGGGCCCTAATGATGTCATGATAAAAGGCTCTGTTTCACTAACAGTAAACTTCAACATCAGACTCCATCAGGATGCCCCAAAACCAGATGGATTAAAGGACATCTTTGTGGAACTTACTAAGCATCCCCAAGACACCATAATCAGTTACACATGGATCAGCAGATCCTTTCCCCCATATGGTCACGAGAATACATATGCACCCACCTACACAAACCCAACAGATTTCCTAGAAAAAAAATAAGTCATGGTTGGAAGGCTGGAAACGTAAAACATCCCTCTATTGTCTCCATGTCCATATAGATAACTGCCAACTATCTATCCTTACTTGCACAATCCAAACACATCTCAGATTTAACACATCCACATTCAAACTCTTGATTTTCCTGGCCTGCTTTGTTCCATCTTCAGGTTTCATTTTCTCATTAAATGACAAATGGCACCCCATTAACCTATCCATTCAAACACTTGGGAGATATTTTTGAAACGTCCTTCATTCCTATTCTTAGAAACTCTCAAGAGTTGCTCAATCTACTTCTCTCCATCCCTGCTGCCACCTTTCCGATTCAAGCCAACATCATCTTTCACCTGGGCTATCTGCCTTGAAAAATGAAATTGAAGTTTTCTTCAATTTAAATGTGGGCTATGGGATATCTGGATATACATGGTGGAATATAAAAGTGTGTACATTGCTTTCCTCTCTTCAAACCAGTCTCAACCGATAATTGGGAGATAAAAATGTATGAACAAGAAATAACCAATTTTTAAGAGATGGGGAGATATTGGAAGAATAATAAACAGATCAGAGAAAGGCAGTTAGCAAGTGCAGGCAGAGAAGGATGCTGACAAGAAACAAATCAATTCAACAATTTGTAAACTGTAAACTTCCTGAAAAGCTTATGAGTAGCAGGGGGCAGCAGTGGCATGCTGGTAAATGTTTAGCAACTGGCTCTCCTGGAAAAACAAACAAACAAAAGCACTGAATTGTAGTGTTTGCTGACTTCCATGGTGCAAATATACTCTGGTCAATTTCAAGTTGCTAATGTAATGTCACTGAATGCAAAGTTGAGAAGAAATGTACAAATATTTACATACAGATGGAAAAATACCTAAATAATAGCCATGGCTCACAAAATTTATGATTCATGCACTTTTTTCCAAGAAGATCCTCAGATATTTGCTCCGTCAAAGCAAGGGAGCAAATCATGAAAAAGAATTCTGAAAATGGTGTTTGTAATTCTGGTTGAAAGAGGTGGGAAGTCCCAGGAAAACTGCTGTGTAGCTGATTTAAAGAGCAAGTTCAGGATAGAGCAGAAAGTCAAAGGACTCCAGGAGGAGGGCTTGGAAAAAAAATTAAAAGGAACTCACAGATTCTTTTGTTTAATTAATATTTAATGAAACTATACAATTTGGGTGGAAATTGGACTTGAGAATAAAGAGTTTGTGACATAGGAAATTAAGAGAATGAATAAGTGAGGGACTTACTAACTCTTACTAACATAAATAGCTATGCACAAAAAGGAAGTGTCATCAGTGAACAATACTTATGTAATAGGAATAAAACAATGAATATTTTTGCCAATGTTATATACTAAAAGAAAAACATTGAGGGTGGATTGTGATGGTGACATCATCCTCCATAGTTAAAACACAATATATAATATCTAAAATTTTAAAATAAATAGCATTATTTAAAATAAAAAAGGTAAGTGCTTAAATTTAACTTACCATATCAGGAGTTCAAGACCAGCCTGGCCAACATGGTCTACTAAAAATAAAAAAAATTGGCCGAGTATGGCAGCAGGTGCCTGAAGTCCTAGCTACTCAGGAGGCTGAGGCAAGAGAATCGCTTGAACCTGGGAGGCAGAGGTTGCAGTGAGCCAAGATTTTGCCACTGCACTCCAGCCTGGGCAACAGAGTGAGACTCCATCTCAAAAAAAAAAAATACTCTTCTATTTCATCAATTAACATGAATATACAAATTACCTATTACCAACAGGTCCTGATTCTGTTTTCATAGTCAGATACTAAGAAAAATAATGTATACTACGTTTGGTTCTATTAGTAACCTTATTTTACAAATACCCTACAAGTAAATATGTTTAGGGATTTTCTAAACATGAATTACCATGAAAGTCATATAACAAGAGGATATGAAATGAGAAACATGACTTTTGGGCCTCCCATTTAATCTTCTATGTCTACCCCTAGAGTTTAATGAGCCACTAAACACCTGGGCTGGCACTAATATTCATGGCTATAGCAAAACACACCCAGGAACTTTGAAGTATGTCCTGTGAATAGATCAATTTCCCATCTTTACATCTCCATTTTCAGCTATTTGGTCAGGGACCCTGAGAAGGTGTGCAAGAGAATGTGTTACTCCAGTCATGTGGTGACAAGCAGTGCCATGAGTAACAAATGAGCCCATTATTGCTTTACAGTAGAGGAGACAGGTTAATCCTTTGTCAAATCACTGAGCACAGTGTCCTCTGCCTTGTTCCAATTACCCAGGAAGTGATGGCACTTTCTCATCCACAGCCTTTCAACACCTGCTGACATGTATTTAGGACATTGCTAGGGCTGTGAGTCTTAACCACACCATGCTCACGAATTCTCATGGATAATAAAAGTAACGAAGACACAAAAGAGACTGAGATCCAATGCTTTCTAGACTCAGATAATACCCATTTTTAAAAATCAGAGGAAACCCTAAGACAAACCGAAAAGGAAAGATTCTTTTTCCAAATCAAAATATTTATTTAAATCCAGAAATAAAATAATTGCTGAAGTAGGACTCTTCATAGAACATAGCATATCACCAGTAAACAACATCTTGATTTTTCTAATGGGGACGCTGATGCCAGGAAAATGCACTGATTTGCCTAAACCAGCTTGTGTCACAATCCCTGTGATAGCTATGCCCTGAAACATCATTTGCCTTTTCTCATCATTAGCAATTCAGATTCCCTCATATTTTTCAAACGCACTTTTTTTCATTCAACAAATAATTTTGTAACGTCTTCCATAAAATTACTACTCTAGGCACTAGGGATTCAGCCAAGGTTGAAATGCAGTGATGCTGGGAAAATAAAAGCAAAAGTCACGGGCTGGCTAGGAGATAAGCTTGTGGACAGATAATTAAAGTGCAAGCTGATGAGCAGAATCAAAACATAGTGGAAGCATAAAAAAGCATGCCTCAAAGTCTGCCTGTGAAACCCAGGGAGAATTTCCCAAAACAGGTGGCCCTTGAACTGACATGAAGGAGGAACAGGAGTTTACAAATAATGAAATGCGGAAGAACATAGGAGGCAGAGGGAATAGCATATGAATGGGATATAATACTTAAGCAGCTACATAGTGTTTGCCCAATTTCTTGACCTCTTGTTAATAATTGGCTCTGATGACACACTTCCTTATTGACATCCTCCTTATTTTTAGTTTCCATGGCACTTGTTAATATCCTGTTCCTCTGCATAGCTCCTGGTGTTCCTAAGGGTTCAGTCTTCAGCCTTCTGTTTCCTGTATACTACCCCTTGATTTCCAATGCCTTCCACGTATCTCCCAGCTTTCTCTCTCCATAGCTCCAAATTGATAAATACGACTCTGAAATGAAAATATTCACTTAGCTATAAGATAAACACCTCAAACACTACATGTCTGAAGGATTTTTAACATTTTCTCTTCAAAATCCATGTTCCTATTCCAATGTCATATTAGTAAATGGTGCAATCACCAATGTAATTACCCAAGAAAAAAAATGTCTCAATCCCTCCTGTTTCCTTTCCCTCACTCCTCACATCTGAATCAGTCAAAATTTTCCCTGACACTCATGCTACCGGCCTGACCCAAGCCAGTAATATGTGTACTGTGGTAGAAGATTTAACTGCCTCCGTGTCTCTCATTTTACTCCCATCTGAAACTATGTCTACACAACATCTTAATTTCTGGGAAGCAAAATGAATCATGTCATCCACTCCCAAATACTTAAAACTCTTTGGTGGACTTCTAATTACCTTACTCCAACTAATTAGTTACAATTTCTGTGATCTGGCCACTGACTGTATCTCCCACCTTATTTCTTACAATTATCTTCTCACATCCTTTGAGCGAGATTTATTCTAGTCTACCTATTCTACTTCTTCGTGCCAGGTTGCAACATATATGTCTCCCACTGTCTGAAACATATTTTCTTCCTTCTCCCTCTTTTCAGACTGGAGTGCAGTGGTGCAATCTCGGCTCACTGCAACCTCTGCCTCCCGGGTTCAAGCAATTCTCCCGCCTCAGCCTCCTGAGTAGCTGAGATTACAGGTGTGCACCACCACACCAGGCTAATTTTTGCATTTTTAGTAGAGATGGGGTTTCACTGTGTTGGCCAGATTGGTCTCGAACTCCTGACCTCCAGTGATTTGCCTGCCTTGGCCTCCCAAAGTGCTAGGATTACAGGCGTGAACCACTGCACCCAGCCTCCCTCCCCCTCTTTTCATGGTTTACATATTATTTGACGTTAGATTTCAGATTAAATGTAACTTCCCAAAATGATCCTTTCCCGACCCTATCTTAACTTGCTTTGTCCTATCTTATTATTAGCTTCTGTTGTTACGATGTTTCAAATGTGTACAGATTGATTTCTATCCCATTTCTAGGCAACTAACGGTTTGCTTTCTGTCACTAGAGATTAGTTTTATTTTCTAAAATCTTACGTAGATAGAATCAAATAGTAGGCATTCATTTTAGTCTAGCTTCTTTCACTCATCATAATTATTTTGGGTTTTTCTCATGTAGTTTTCCGGTATCCATGCATTCATAGCAAGAAACAGTATTAAGAAAAAACACACAATGGAAATAAACTTTCAGGTAACTTAGATAGTTGAGCTAATCAGAAATTAACTTTGAAATTATTGCAATTAGTATATTTAAGAAAATAATAGGGCCGGGTATGGTGGCTTATGCCTGTAATCCTAGCACTTTGGGAGGGCAGGGTGAGCAGATCATTTGAGGTCAGGTGTTTGAGACCAGCCTGGCCAACATGGTGAAACCCCATCTCTACTGAAAATACAAAAATCAGCCGGGTGTGGTGGCAGACACCTGGAATCCCAGCTACTCAGGAGGCTGAGGCAGGAGAATCGCTTGAACCCGAGAAGCAGAGGTTGTAGTGAGCCAAGATCATGCCACTGCACTCCAGCCTGGGCGACAGAGCAAGACGCCGTCTCAAAAAAAAAAAGAAAGAAAGAAAGAAAAGAAAAAAGAAAATAATAAAAATTTTGGCAAAGAAGTGAAAGTCACAAAAAAAATCAAATGGAGTTTATAGAAACAAAAAATACTATAGCTAAAATTAGGAGTTCAGAATAGCTTGGTACAGCTGAAGTGTGGATTAATTAAATTTTTTAAAAGGCACACAGGAAATGTCCAGATTAAAGCACAGAAGGTTAAGAAAGAGACATATGGGATATAGAAAAAAACTTTAACATACATGCAATTGGAGTTTGATAAGGAATCAACTATAAAAAGGAAAAAATAGTATTTGGAGAGGCAATGGTCAAGAATCTTATAAAATCCATGAAAGCCATCAACACATATATTTTAAAGCCACTCTGAAACCCAATCAGAATAAACAAATCCAAAAACTAAAAAATACCTAAATATTTGAAAACTAAGCTACATACTTCTCTTATAGTATATGGAATTATAAAAGGGATCACAGGGCAATTAGAAAATATTTTAACTTGATGATACAAACAAGACATGTTCAAATTGCGGGCTGCAGCACTTTGAGGGAATTTCATAGCTTTATATGTCTATTAGAAAAGAATAAAAGCTGAAAATTAATGATTTATAAGTTTTACACGTAAAAAAGAGGATATCACGATACATCTTACAGACATTTAAAAGATATAAAAGGATAATCTGGATAATTCTGCGCCAATAAATATTTAAATTCACTTGATATTAATAATTGTTTTTAAAAACATAATCTATCAAGAATGATACCAGAGGTATCAGATATTAGATTGGTATCCCATCTATTAAAGAAATTAATTTGTAATATTAAGAAAACCTTCCTACAATAAAATTTCATGTTTAAATAGCTTCACTGGTAAATTCTTCAACAAAATAATTCTATTGAAGGTTTTTGAGGGACTCTAGTGTTTAACTAATTGAGAATACAGAGAATCAAATGTTGCTCGTTACTAGTAAGTTCAAAATGGGGGTCATGACAGGGACTCCTGCTCTCTCCAAAACTTTATGCAGTAAATTAACCAGCTAGTTCTAGTCAGAGAAATTGGAAAACCAGGCCCTGATGAAGTCTTACTAGTCTGTTTCCTAAATGAAGGTAGATATCAGTAAAGATTTCCCAGCACTTCTTACTGATTCATATGGAAGCCAACTGTAAGAGAAAACACTTAAGAGTAAGAGCAAGAGTAAAGACAATAGCAAGTGAATAAGTGAGAGAGAGATAAAGAGAGCCCTTTGCCTTTTGAATACAGGGATGACCCATTTAGCTCTTAAGATTACTCAATGGATGACAAGCTTTACACATATCACCAATCAGCTAAAAACAAACAAAAAAAAGCAAACACAAACAAAAACCTACTCCTACAGAAACAACAGAGATAGGGACAGAAAGTATTGGAGAATTGCTTTTAATATTGTCCCCTACTAAGAGGTGAAGCAAATATCCCTCTTCAGAAATGTGAGAATCGAGGAATAAATGTTTTCCTTATCAGTCATTTCACCGCTGAAAACTAGGAATGAGATGAGAAAGTTGCTGATAACCAAAGCAAGCCATATATTTGCCTGTTGTAGAATACACTGCTGAATAATTTATTATGTTTTTTGTAGCTCTCCAGACCACAACTGAAATCTTGACTCTTCCTCTTACCAGTTGTGAGGCCTTGAGTGAGTCTGTAAAGCCATCTTTGAAAAATGGCTAAACAGATTTTAACAAAATTTAGAGAGTCTGTGTAGAATAGTCTGATATATAATAGGCATACATAAAATCACATGGGAACAGTTTGAATGGGATAGTCACTTATTTTCCATGGCAACTGACATAAAAGCACAGAAAAATGTCAGTATAACTGCACACTGAGGATAAATAGATTAGATTGATGGATGGATGGATGGATGGATATAGATAGATAGATAGAGCAAGCTTAGACAGAAGATAGATAGACAGACAGACAGACAGACAGACAGACAGACAGACAGACAGATAGATAGATAGACAGAGCAAGCAAGCCAGGTTCAGAGAAAATAAAAATTTAGCTTAAAGTTAAAAGAAAAAATGCTCCAGATTGTAAGCAATTATTTGTGATTGAATTGTTTCTTGTATAGATAATCATGTACTAGCTTACTCCATGGTGATTAGCAGCAAGAATTGATTTAATATTGCTACGTTTAATATCACTTATTCTGTAAGCTTTTATTGGGCATACTGTCTGTGTCAGGCACTGGGCTAAACACACAGTTGATGTAAGAGTTGTCTCGAGTTTGTAAGCATCTGGATTAGAATACACGACTAGCCCAAGGACAAAAGCAGAAAATCATATCATTTTATGACATAGTTGGAGAAAGAGAGAAAATAATATAAACGAGAGAAGAGTCATCTTCTAAGTATGTATACATTCTATTCCTTAGAAAGATAGTTGCTTACAGTTGCCCAACATTGCCTATTAATTGCAATTAAGTTTAAATCATGGCAAAGTCATAGAAAGCTTGATTGTAGATATATATCTAAGCTGTATTCTCCAAATTAATTCTAATCAGTAATAAACTGGAATTTTATTCCCCAATATTAAGTAAAATTATTCAAGGGAGTAAATAAATGTGAAGTGTAGGAAAAATGCTATGGATGAACTAATTATACTATCTAATAAAAACATCTATACTTTATTGAACACTTATGTGTCAGACCCAGTGCTGAGTTGTGTGTATATGTGTGATTAAGTCCTTCAAAGGAAGGTGTTGCTAATCCTGTGTTTCAGACAGAAAAATGCCATTCAGAGATGTAGGAATCTCACTCAAGGCCAACAGCTGACTATGGAATGCTACACTCCAAGAGAATTCTAATCTTGCCCCAGAAGCCTGTTGATGCTCCCAGATCTGGTGGGTTGTATGTCATCTTAATAAGCTACAAAGCCTGAGATATATATTTTATGTGAAGTGACAGATTGAGGGAGTCATCTCAAGAGAAACCTGTAAGTAAATGAGGCAAACAAGAATAGAACAGGAGAAGAAGCTACAGAAAGATATGGTTGCAGGTGAAACATAGCCTCAGCCACTATTTTTTTTGGCTCGGGGTCTCACTCTATCGCTCAGGCAGGAGTGCAGTGGCACAATCATGGCTCACTGCACCTCCACTTCCCAGGGCTCAGATGATCCTCCTACCTCAGACACTGCCCCCACCGCCCCCCCACCCCACCACCAGGTAGCTAGGACTACAGGTGCATACCACTATGTCAGGATAATTTTTGTATTTTTTGTGGAGACAAGTTTTCACCATGTTGCCCAGACTGGTATCTAACTCCTGGGCTCAAGCAATCTGCCCGCCTAGGACCCCCAAAGTGCTGGGATTATTACAAGCATGAGCCATCATGCCCAGACTCAGAACCACTTTTATTTTACACTAAGTCTACTCCATCCAGGCATATATTCTACAGTATTCCGGATGGTCACATTTCTGGAGAAATGTATAAGCAGAGGGTTAGTGGAATGAACTTCAGCCCCAGCTACTGCAGTTGGTCCTGAGGTTGGAACTAAATAATACTCATCATTCTTTGACCACACAGAAATCCCCCATTAGCTTGACTGAATAGGAGACCCAGATCCTCATCCCTGAGAGATCTCACACTTGTTTATTATGCCCATATCAGTCCATGGTTGCTTTATTTGGCAATTTAAAGTTAAATTTGGCATAACAGTGCCATGAATATGTCAAATATATTCTTCCCCAGAAGCCTTCAGGGTCTATTACCCTCTCCAGTTTGGTGATTCTGTTCTGTGTCTGCTGATCTATTGGCGTGAGAAGCTGAAAGTGACCAGCCAACAGCCATAACTTTATGTTTAGTGAGACTCATAATGGGTCTCCTGCTGGAAGCATCTCCCCTCTAAGAATCAGTAATTCTAGACCTGCAAAGTTTGAAGTTGTAAGCATGGGAAACACAAATTCCCCAAATAGGTCCAGATAGTGATAGAGAATAAGACACTTACTTGCCTACTTCCATTTCTCAGCCCAGATATTCTACCTATAGTGGACATGCCCATGCAATGGCTATTGGTTTGAGGTATACATTGCACGTTGAAGGACAGTGCCTCATCCTTGCAGGGTGCCCTTTCCCAGTTGGCACCACAGCTGTACTGTCAAGGAGCTATTCCACTGCCCTATCAGGGCAGTAGCTTCTAGAAAGGCCGGCATGTAGGAGGTCCGCTGGATCTGGATTCACAGTCATGTGCTCACTGATGTACCTTCATTGCTATAAAGTAAGCCCCTTGGTTCAAGGAGGAGTTACACAGAATCTCATGTTGGAAGTGGTGTTGACAGAGCACTGTTACCAGAAAAGGCAAACCATGCCTGAAAAATGTTTCATTTCATCAGCCCTTTGCCAGACGGATAGATTGCAAAAATTTTCTCCCATTCTGTAGGTTGTCTGTTCACTCTGATGATAGTCTGGTTTGCTGTGCAGAAGCTCTTTAGTTTAATTAGATCCTATTTGTCAATTTTTGCTTTTTTTGCAATTGCTTTTGGCGATTTCATCAAAAAGTCTTTGCCCATTCCTGTGTCCTGAATGGTATCACCTAGAGTTTCACCTAGGGTTTTTATAGTTTTGGGTTTTACATTTAAGTCTTTAATCCATCTTGAGTTAATTTTTGGCTAAGATATAAGGAAGGGATCCAGTTTCAACTTTCTGCATATGGCTAGCCAGTTCTCCTAGAACCATTTTTTTAAATAGTGAATCCTTTCCCCATTGCTTGTTTTGTCAGGTTTGTTGAAGATCAGATCGTTGTAGATGTGTGGTTTTATTTCTGAGTTCTCTATCCTGTTCCATTGGTCTAGGTGCCCATTTTTATACCAGTACCATGCTGTTTCAGTTATTGTGGCCTTGTAGTATAGTTTGAAGTTGGGTAGCATGATGCCTTCAGCTTTGTTCTTTTTGCTTAGGATTATGTTGGCTATATGAGCTCCTTTTTGGCTCCATATAAATTTTTAAATAGTTTTTTTTTCTATTTATGTGAAGAATGTCAATGGTGGTTTAACGGGAATAGCATTGAATCTCTAAATTGCTTTGGGCAGTATGGCCATTTTCACCATATTGATTCTTTCTATCCATGAGCATGAAATGTTTTTCCATCTGCTTGTGTCATCTTTGATTTCTTTGAGCAGTGTTTTGTAGTTCTCCTAGAAGAGGTCTTCACATTCCTTGTTAGCTGTATTCCTAGGTATTTTGTTCTCTTTGTGGCAATTGTGAATGGGAGTTCATTCATGATTTGGGTTTCTGCTTGTCTGTTGTTGGTGTATAGGAATGCTTTTTATTTCTGCACACAGAATCTACAAGGAACTTAAGCAAATTTACAAGAAAAATACTAAAAACCCCATTAAAAATGGGCAAAGGATATGAACAGACACTTCTCAAAAAGACATACAAGCAGCCAACAAACATATGGAAAATAGCTCAACATCACTGATCATTAGAGAAATGCAAATCAAAACCACAATGAGATACCATCTCATGCCAGTCAGAATGGCAATTATTTAAAAGTTAAGAAACAAATTCTGGTGAGGTTGTGGAAAAATGGGAATGCTTTTACACTGTTGGTGGACCATAAATTAGTTCAACCATTATGGAAGACAGTGTGGCGATTCCTTAAAGATTAAGAACCGGAAATACCATTTGACCCAGCAATCCCATTACTGAGTATATACCCAAAGGAATATAAGTCATTGTATTATAAAGACACATGTATGTGTATGTTCATTGCAGCACTATTCACAGTAGCAAAGACATGGAATCAACCCAAGTGCCCATCAATGATAGACTGGATAAAGAAAATGTGGTACATATATACCATGGAATAATATGAAGCCATAAAAAGGGACAAGATCATGTCCTTTGCAGGGACATGGATGGAGCTGGAAGCCATTATTCCCAGCAAACTAACGCAAGAACAGAAACCCAAACACCGCATGTTCTCACTTATAAGTGGGAGCTGAACAATGAGAACACATGGACACAGGGAGGGGAACAACGCTTACTAGGGCCTGTTGGGCGAGGGTGGGAGGGAAGAGCATTAGGGAAAAGAGCTAATGCATGTTGGCTTAATACCTGGGTGATGGGTTGATAGGTGCAGCAAACCACCATGGCACATGTTTACCTATGTAACAAACTTGCACATCCTGCACCTGTACCCCAGAACTTAAAAAAAAATAATAATTATAAAAATTTTTTTAAAGATTAAGCAAAATAAAATGCTCCTGGGTAAAACAAACCAAAAAAATGTTCCATTTCAAATCTGGGTGAATTGTTACCTTTTCCAGAATGGTATTGGGTCTAATGTAATCAACTGCACCCCAAGTGAATGACTAGTGTCCTCCAGGGAAGGTACAGTATAGAAGGTTTAGTGTTATTCTCTGTTACTTAAAATTTGGCATTCAGCAATGGCACTAGCTAGATCATCCAGGCTATCACCCTGCATAGCCTCCATCTCTGCCACTGTGCCTTTTTATTTTATTAGTCCATTGTGCATTCAAGGGTTAGCTGGGGACAGACTGGCTAATATCCACTGGCCAAGTTATCCTATACACTTGATTTAAAATTTAAAAAAAACTCTTTTGCAATAGATATTCTGTGGTGAGCATTAATATGCAATACAAAGATTTCCATATTTTGAATCTGTTCCCATAGGTCCATCCACATGACTCTCCTCGAGGCTTCTTTGCCACAGATATTCCAATCTTGCTCCTTTCAGGCTCCTAACCAACCCATAAAGTAATTCACCACTGCACCTGAGTCTGTGTAACTCAGGACACTTCTTTGTTTATACAAAGTAGATAACCAAGAAAACCAGCTAAAACTCTCACTCTTCTCACTGCGAGAATGTCTACTTACCACTATTTTAGAGGGCCACTCATGAGTTGGGCTGTAGCGTAGCCACACTGTATTTTTGATTTCCACCAATATATCTGAGCTGACTCCTGCATAAACGAAGCACGGTGTTTTTGTTTGTTTGTTCCCTCCTACATCAGCTGATCACAAAATATTCCCTATGAAGCCACAGGTGTGAACTGAGAGCAGGTTATCAGTGCAGCAATGGTGAGTGACATGAGAGCCATGGTCACCTGTTCATGCAGCATAGTTGTGATCTCTGAACTTGTTCACACTTAATTCCAGAAATAGTAATACCATCTTGTAATAGATTGCTGTGGAGTCCACTAAACCTTACTGCTTGGTGGATCTAACAGCATGTAGTTCCCAATAAGCAATGCTGACTACACACTTACTTGATGCCTGTTGGTCGCATAACCAGTTTCTACCAGGGCCCAGCATCATGCCAGTAGCTATTTTTTGAATCATGTTTGGTTCCTTTTTGCAGATGGCATGGCCTAGCTCCAGAACCTTAGGGATCTGTGCTGTAACTCTCCTACTGGGGCTTGCCAGAGACACCACATGGCGTTTTTGATCGCTACAAATACCTCTAGTAACATGGGATCAGCTGAACCATATGGCTCAAGTGGAAAAGCAGCAGTCTGGTCCTGCTGCAGAGGCTTTTCTTGCTCTGAGCCTCTTTCAAAATAAGTAGTTTTCTCTATCACCTAATAAATTGGTAAAAGCAGTATTCACAAATTGTGGAATATGCTGTTTCCCAAACCCAAGTATACTAGTTATCAGCTCTTACTACCTTTCAGCTTCAGAAGGTGAGATCTCTTTAAAAGCTTCAAAGGAGGCCCTCTGAAACTCACACATTGCTTCCAGTTGGCGATTACTAGATCTGAACTTGTAATTTTCTCTCTTCAACATATCAGCGGTGCTTTGCACCACCACCCAAGTTCACAGTCCCTGTAATTATTATCCTAATAATATTTCAGTGAGATTACATAAACATATGTATCCCCTTCTGCCTGTATTCAGTTCCAATTAATCACAGGTGAAAGAATAAACCATTTCACTGCCACAGCTTCATGGCAGAAACCATCAGTACTCCACCTACTATCAGTGCTGGGATCCTCACTGCCACTCAGGCAGCAAATGATATAACTCCAGAATCCCAACTTTTAAAGTCACCTTTTAGGGTCATTTCTGGTTTTAGGTCGGATTCCCTAGATGCAGCAGCTGAAATGGGATTTTTGTGCAAATGACTTATTGAGAGAATGTTCTCAAAAGGACATTGTAAGAGAGAAATGAAAGCAGAATAGAGCAGGGGAAGAAGCTAAGCAAAGACATGACTGCTGAAATCTCGAATTAGATTGAACTCTTGGGGGCATTCTAGAACATACAGAGCCTTACAAAGTTGTCTCATTTTGAGGCCAGGTGACTGGGCTTTTGAACCCCCACATTTGTTAGCATTGGCTGTGGACCATAGTTTAGGAGGTGGGCTTAATCTCCCAGACACTTATAATAAGTAAAGAGACTCATATCAACTAAGAAAAGTCCTTAGAAAATGGATACAGGTATGAGCCTTTACTGGCCAATATTTTCAACAACTGGAGGGATGGGTGCACCAGTCTAGTAAAGGGTAACTGAATGGGCTACCAAAAGGATTTACTGCCAGAAATACGAGTTCTCTGGGAACCATCATTCTACTCTACCCAGCGCATAAGTGAAGAAATTAACTGCCTTGCTAGTTACCTGATGAGGCTGCCACGTATCACCCTCACCATAATTCCCAAACGCCTCCCCTACCTGCATTGTTAGATGCTCCACTGGTATCAAGCATCTTCAGCACCCGCCATAATCAGAGAGTAGGTCTCATCAGCCAGCATGATCCACAAGTGTAAGTCATGGAGGGTAACCAGAAAGCAATTTTATTTTGTAGCTCGCTTCCTTTTAAATGTGCTCAGAGAGAAGAGCTTTTATATTGCTTCTAAGAGCAAACTCAGGTAAACACTGTGATATTTCTCACCTTTTGTAGACAGACTAGAAATTAAAATGTCCAAGCCAATAGTCAAAATTACAAACTTATTTTGAAGTTCAAGACTCTCCCCTTCTAGGGGAGAGTGTCCCTTCCAAGGTTGGTGCTGAGGAGCAAGGAGAGGTGATAAGGCAGGAAAGTTCTTATTTGGCAGGCACTTTTGTGGCTTCTTCTGTATTCTCAGGGCTGAGCCTCCAGAAGAGCTGACTCTTTATCAGGGAGGTACTTTCATTGGTTTTGCAAAACCATGCCACTCACCATTGACACGTTCCTATCTGCAGCTTTCTTTTTTTCAGGTTTATTGGTATATAACTGGCAAATACAAATTGTATAGATTTAAGGTCTACAACTTAATGCTTTGACATATGTGTACATTGTGAAATGATCATCACAATCAAGCTATTTAACATAGCCATCATCTCACATAGTTACCTTTGCTTTCTTTTATGGTGAGAACACTTAAGGTCTATCCTCTTAGCAAATCTCAAGTATACAAAATGGTATTTTTAACTATAGTCATCGTACTGTACATTACATCTCCAGAATTTGCTCATCTTGCATAACTAAAACTTTGTATCCTTTGGCCAAAATCTCCCCCATTTTCCCCATCTCCGCACCCCTGGCAGCCACCATTCTACTCTACCATCCTTTAATCGGTTGGTCTGATGACAGACATTTAGGTTGTTTACATAGTTTGGCTATTGTGAATAATTCTGCAATGAACATGGGAGTGCAGATGTATCTTTGAAATACTGACTTCATTTTCTTTGGATATATACCCAGAAGTGAGATTGCTGGATCGCATGTTACTTCTATTGTAATTTTTAAAGGACCCTTGATAGCATTTCCCATAATGGCTGTACCAATTTACATTCCCATCAACACTGTACAAGGGTTCCCTTTTCTCCACATCTTCCCCAACATTTATCTTTAATCTTTGTTATAATAACCATTATGGCAGGTGTAAGGTGATATCTTACTGGGGCTTTTAAAAATTAATATTAAGTGAGCAAAGGACATGAACAATTTTCAAAAGAAAATATACATGCTGCAAACAAACGTGATAAAAAAGATCAACATCACTGGTCATTAAAGAAATGCAAATAAAACCACAATGATATACCATCTCACACCAGTCAGAATGTCTATTATTAAAAAGTCAAAAAATAACAGATACTGAGAAGGTTGTGGAGAAAAGGAAATGCTTATATACTGTTGGTGGGAGTGTAAATTAGTTCAATCATTGTGGAAAGCAGTGTGGCAGTTCCTCAAGAAGCTAAAAACAGAACTACCATTTGACCCAGCAATCCCATGACTTGGTATATACCCTAAGGAATATAAATCATTCTACCATAAAGACACATGCACATGAATGTCCGTTGCAGCACCATTCACAATAGCAAAGACATGGAGTCAGACTAAATACCCAGCAGTGACAGATCGGATAAAGAAAATGTGGTATATATACACCACGGAATACTATGTAGCCATAAAAATGAATGAGATCATGTCTTTTGCCAGGAACATGGATGGAGCTAGAGGCCATTATCCCTAGCAAACTAATGCAGGAACAGAAAACCAAATACTGCATATTCTCACTTTATAAGTTGGAGCTAAGTGATGAGAACTCATGGACACAAGGAAAAGAACAACAGACACTGGTGGTCTGCTTGAGGGTGGAGGGTAGGGGCAGGAGAGGATTAGAAAAAATAACTATTGAGTACTAAGCTTACTACCTGGGTGATGAAACAATCTGCACAACAAACCCCTGTAACATGAGTTTAGCCATATAACAAGCCTGTAGATGTACCCCTGAACCAAAAATAAACGTTAAAAATAAATAGAAATATCAAAATAATAAAATTAATATTATTTGTAATGGACAGATGATTGCATATACTTATAGGATACATTGTAATGTTTTGTTAGATGTATACAATGTGATTAAATCAAGCTAATTAATATATTCATCCCCTCAATTTCAAATCTATCATCATTGTGGCTTTGATTTGCATTTCCCTGATGATTATTGCTATTGAACATTATTGCATATATCTGTTGGCCAAATACATGTCTTCTTTTGAGAAATGCTTATTCATGGCCTCAGCCAATTTTTAATTCTGTTATTTGATTTTTTTTTCTATTGAGTTGTTTGAGTTACTTACATATTTGGGATATTAATGTCTTATGAGATATATGGTTTGCAAATATTTTCTTCCAATCCATTAGTTGCTTTTTCACTCTGTTGATTGTTTTCTTTGTTCCACAGAAGAATTTTAGTTTAATGTAATGTAATTCTACTTGTCTATTTTGTTGTTGTTGTTGTTGTTGTTGCCTATGCTTTTGGTGTCACACCCAAAGAAAAAAAGTCATGAGGCCATGGCCAGGTCCACAATTATGACTGCAGATGGCAGGCTTGTTACCAGGGTTGCAGATCCCACCAGGTTTCTGAGCAGACAGAACTGCCTCCAGGACTACAGTGGAGAGAAGCCAGAACCAAGTCACATGGCTGTTTTAGGATCTATGGTTGAGTCCACAGGCCTGTGGTCAGTGAGACTGTTACTTGGGATGCTGATGGGTATGGCTCTGGCCAGGTCCTTCAGTGGATAGGATTCTCCCTGGACCATGAAAGACCAGGTTTGGAGCAGGTCACAGGGGTGCGTCAGAGTCTACAGTTGGGTCCAAAGTCGGTGGGCCTACCACTGAGGTATAGACAGCGTCTCTGCAGCCAAATCCGAGTGAGCAAGCCTGCCCCAGACCATGGTAGAGCAAGGCATGAGCACGGTCACAGGGCTACTTCTGGATCTGTAGTCAGGTCTGAGGTAAGCATGCCTGTTACTGGGGGTACAGACGGCAGTGGCTCCTCCTGGATCCCTTTACAAATGGGGCTAGGGTCAGGACCATGGCAAGTGGGGTTAAAGCTGAGTCTGCAGGGGGATGGGGCTGCTTCCAGTCCATAGCCAGGACCACGATCAGTGAACATGTCTTATGGATCTGTCTTCTAAATGTGGCCCTCCTCAGCCGTGGGCTCCTGCCACAGGATTTTGCAATCTTTTACCTGGGTCCCAACACTCCCACCAAGGCACGTTTGTCAGTGAGTGGCTGCCAGATTGTTATTTCTTTGGGGAAAAAAATGTGCCATGAGCTGGAGACCTTCTATTCTGCCACCTTGCTGACGTCCTTGTCTGCAGCTTTCTTGATCTTGACAAATAAATCTCAGTTCAGCTGTTCCCTTACTCCCTTGTTAGTCCCTATGAATCTGGTGATATCATCAATTTCTGTTAGCTGAAGAATGTTCACATGTCTGTGTCATCTTAATGTGTATTGAATTCTAGTTCCCTCTCCTGCCTCTGGCCCATGGGAAATACTCACTCATTCTTTCCCCTATACCTTGGAAAGATGAGGTTTTTTCCATACTGCAGGATCATGCCTTTGCTTCACTCCAAAGCAACTGGTTGATCAGGCTCTGGCTATTTATATTTGTCAAGTAGTTTTTAGAAACAGGCCACCATGTCCTCCAAGTCAAAGAGGACAGTTGTTAAACCCAGACCATTGAAACCAGTCATTAAGTTTGAGTTACATAGAAGGGACCCCCACCCCATCTCCTTTGAAGTGCATGGTGGGATTTGTAGCACACCAAAAGCTTATTCCAGAATTCCACATTACAAAGCTTCTCTTGATCTTTACTCTTTCTGCCTTGTTTTCTAACCTCTAATGTGGATAAGGAGTCTGAGTGTTTTATAATCAGTTTTTTGGCTACCTCTTTAAAAAGTGCATCTGCATTTGGCACTTCCCTGTGAATGAGATGCCCATAAGGCTTTCACTTTAACATCTTATTACATCCAGTTTCAGTTTTTGGTATGACCTCTTCAGCTTTCTCTCTCAAACATGAGATTCTAAAAGCATTTTTCCCCAATTCTCTACGGCACTTTTCCATTCAATCCTTTCACCTCTCTTAAGCCCAACCCAAAATAAATTTATTAAATAGCCAGCTATGTTCAGAAGATAATGTATTCACCTGCACTTAAAGCCAGATTGATCTAAGATCAATTCCCACCTTTGTATTTATTGGTTGTATGATCTTGAGTATGTTACTTAGCCTCTCTTAGCTTCATCCATAAAATACTTGCCTTGGAGAATTATTGAGATGATTAAATAACGTAACAGTTTATAGTGCCAGGTAACAAAGTAGATGCTCCATAGATATTAGAGTCTCTTATCTCTACCCCAATTTTTCCTGCAGATTGTTAACTAAAAGTATCACCACACAGGCTCCAATCAAATGCCAGCATCCTCTTCCTTGCCACCTCTTACACAGCAATTGAAAATCAATATTCTCATTCCAAGAAGAGAGTAGTGTCCCTAGGATTTGGAACTATATGCAAAACACTCTGAATCCTGTGTGAACGAAGGATTGAAGATCACTGGAGCAGAAACAGCTACATAATTTGAAGAGCCTAGTGTTGACTGAAAATGTGAGGTCCTTTGTTCAAATATTGTTAAGAATTACAAGACGTCAACAACAGAGTATTAAACTACGCACAAGGCCCTTGTGGAGCTGGCCCTGCACAGAGGTCTAAACTCTACGATTGGATGCTGGCTTCCTATTTCTATTCTCTGTGGTACTAGCAAAGTTACACAGACAAATGAAATAAACTCATTCCAGCTACAGCTTAATTGAAGCTGACCGTGCAAAAACACTAACTAGCAAGACAATGACCCTCCCCTACCTTCTTTGGCAGAAGAAGAGTTACATGGTTACCTGACAGGCCCTATTCAGCCGATGGACAGTGTCAGAAGGCAGATTCTTTGCAGACCTTCCTACTGTTTAAATGTCTCTATGAAATTCTAGGCAGCTTAGTCCTGGAGCAAGTTGAGGTCTCTTAGTCCTGGAGAAACTTGGGGGAGGGACGGGAGAAAAGAAGAAGAAGAGGTAGGCAGCTATAAGCTTCATCAAAGGCCAGTCCCCTAAAAAAGTCATGTCCCTGCCAAAAGTCAGTTCCCTAAAAAAGTCATGAGAATAATTCTTTGACTTCATCAGCTAGGTGTCAAAACCTCAGAGACTCCTGGATCCTTTCATCTTGTCTACTGCCAAGGTGATCAAGTAGCATCACTTAATGATAATTCATACCTTTTTCTCTCAGATAAAGGCAAGAAACTGTGACAAACACCAAGACCCTATGCTCTCAATTTGGACTTAGATCTGAGCATTTTTTATTAAAAGTGTGTTCTAAGATATATTGGAGACTACAATCCTGCAAAAAGAAAAAGGATATCAGATTTTTTATTTCCAAACTAGATGGGATCTTTGAAATCCTTTAGTATATGGTTTCAATCTTTTGGGGGTCCTGAACCATAAACATGTTACTTTGTAGTCCCCAAAAGCTTTATGGAGTCTACAGAATTCCCTGAGTCCCCCAAACATCTCACAGAACAAGAATTACAGACTTAGAATCCCCCCTATAGTATAACCTCCCTAAGTTTTCTCATTAGTAAAATAAAGATAATAATGGTACTTATTTTACAGGATCATTACGCCAATTGAAAGAGATAACCTAATACAAGTCCTTAAAATGCACCTGGCACATAGTTAAGTACTAAGTAAATATTAGATAGGCTAGTACCTTGCAACTCTAAGTGTGGTCCTCAGACCAGCAGCCTTGGCACCTGTTGGAGCTTGTTCAAGTTGCAGAATCACAGGCCCAACCCCAGGACTCCTGCATCAGAGTCTGCGTGCTCACAAGTTCTCCAGGCAATTCATATGCATGCACAAGTTTAAGAATAGCTGTTCTAGTAGTAATAATAATTGTTTTCCTGGAAGAATATAATATTATTCTTAGTATTATTATTACTATAGAAAAATTTTTTAACCTCCTAAATACATATTGCAGACATTTTTTACTCTGCTGACATAACTACCATCCTGTCCTCTTGGAAAAACCCCAATTTTGTCTAAGAATCCACCTTTCGTGTGCTTTAAGAAAGATAGCCCCACCTTTTGTTGCAGGAGTGAGTCACGTTTGTACAAAGCCTCACATAACAGCCTCATCTCCTTTGCAGTGACGAGTTGGCAAAAGACTGTGACTCAATTCTGAAAAATTGGAACTGTAAAGAAGCACATTAAAAAGATTCGATATCAAGTTATCCTCATTTTTACCAAGACACATTTGGGATAAATCAGTTCCTCTTCTGCCACTGAATATTGTTTCATATGGTTTCAGCATCTGCAGTAGCCATCTAAGCGCCAAGACTGCAGAGAGCATACTGATATTTTTGAGGCGAGATTCAGAGAGCAAGTGGAAGCTTTATGACACAGGTGAGCTGCTGAATGAACCATGTAATGAAACAGTCTTTCCTCATCTTAGACGTTGGAGTTACACTGTGTGGTGAGTGATGTGTCCACTGCTTGACATCCCTACAGGACTCATTCCTCAACCACTCTGAGTAGTGATAGCTGGCAGCAATGAGGGGTGTCCCTCATCTGAAGAGAGCCTCCTTGCCAAGATTGTGCAACCTCAGTGCAACAACCAGCAGATGCAGACATATCAAGGCCTGGCCCTGCTGCCCACTTTCAGCACCACTCCAAAGAGCTCTCCCAGAGCTAAAGCTTCTGTGGAATTGGCTGAGGCCTTTTTGAGAAGGGACCACAATTCCACTCTGTCAAATCCTGCTTCCCTCGTGTTCTCCAAGGACTTCTCTAATAAACTTCCTGCATATAAGCCTCCAAATCCGAGTTTGCTCTGGAAATACTGGTCTATGTCTGTATGCAACTCCTGAACTACACAGGGAAAAAGATACCTGAGTCCGGGGCCAGCAGGTGAATTCCTAAGCAAATGTGTGGAGGATCACATTGGAGGAGAGGGCAAGTAAATCCAAGCCCATTAGAGGATTCAGGTCCAGCAGATAATAAAGGACTAGACGCAAGGACTGCCTTTGAAGGATAAGATTTCAGTCCTGAGAGAAAGGGGCAAGCAATAGCCTTAGGCATAAATGATCTAGATTCCTAAGTAAGCCCAGTGATTCAAGTATAGGAGAATAAAGAATGCAGGAAGCTAATTGTTAGAAATAAAAAAAGCAAGGCAGAATAGAGTAAGCAAAGGGTCAAAGAAGCTGAGCCCTCAATCTCTGTCTGGATCTAGAGATGCTTAAATTCATTCTCCTAAAGGGATTCCATGGGTTTTGGGCAGGACCTACAAGGGAGAGCGTAATGACAAGAACTATGGATATTTAGGGAAAAGGAGCTGAGCTCATCACAAAACTTGAGGGTTGAAGAATAAATGACAGCAACTGGGTTTAAACCTCAACAGGACCTGACATTTGTGAAGGCAGTTTGTCTCTAAGATGTAAATTTGTGTGGTTACTCTATGTGCATAACCCCCCACTCAAATGAGATCTCACCAAATGGTTTTTCATAACACTGCTCTTTCCTCTGTTTAGATCTAAAGTTATTGTTTTGCTGTTGGTGTGAAGTATTCCTTTCCTGTAATTCCTTTTCTATGGTTCTTTGATGTCCTGACACAACTTAACAAATACTTAATACTTTATTAACTTAATAATACAAAATAAATATAAATATCAATGTGGTTAACAGAATCTTAGGAAATGGGAGTGATGGCATACTGCTCAATTCACCTCCTAAATGGACATTCTAAACAAATCATGATTTAAAAATAAAGAGAATTTTTCCCACATGTTGCCCCTGTGACCACCATTTTAATTTGGAGATGTGTGTATTGGGAGGTCTCCTCCCAGATTCTCTCTGTGAGCAGTTCTCTGCATCTTGTGCCATTCCTATTGGCATCTCGGTGCTTAGAAACTTCCCCAGTGGGAGGCCAGGCATGGTGGCTCACACCTGTCATCCCAGCACTTTGGGAGGCCAAGGCAGGTGGATCATTTGAGGTCAGGAGTTCGAGACCAGCCTGGCCAACATGGTGAGACCCAGTCTCTACTAAAAATACAAAAAATAAAATAATAATAAAAATATATGCCAGGCATGGTGGTGTGTGCTTGTAATCCCAGCTACTCAGAGGCTGAGGCACAAGAATTGCTTGAACCCAGGAGGCAGAGGTTGCAGTGAGCAGAGGTTGCAGTGAGCCAAGATTTCACCATTGCACTCCAGCCTGGGTGACAGAGCAAGACTCTGTCTCAAAAAAAAAAGACAAAAAGAGAAAACCTCCCCAACGGGTAGCATCAAAAAAATGAGAACAAAGAAAAGGAGACGACTAAAATTTACCAGGGAAAAGATAAGGAAAATGTATTCTATGATAAAAGGTACTATAGTATTCCATCAGTGACTCTTTTTAACAAATAAATGTAGATATCTGAAGAACATAAGGCAGAAATATTAAACTTTGAATCCAGGCCACTGCTGAGTTTAAATAGCTTGCAATTCCAGTTGAGGTCATCAATTATATATGATCACCCTTTGAGATAGACAACTAAAGGCAGAGACATTATTTCCAGAAAGCTGTTGTCTTTCTAGGTTACTCAAAGAGAGTGCAAGCCTTCAATAACCATGAATTTCTCTCTTGGCCCTCTCCAAATGGCTCATTAGTGCAAATTTTATCATATTAATTTATTGTCTTTTTATAAGGCCCAGATTCTGCTGTGAGTTTTGAATAAGGAATGAGAACTTTTAGAAGTAAAGCAGAACAGCTACTTTGAATTTCTAAGATCTAGACATGTTGTAAATATCACATTCTTTTTCAGACAATATATTTGGACTTAGGGTTTGATTGTTATCTTTCCTTAGAAGGGGTAGGAGGGAGGCATGTAGGAGGATCCTTATTCCTCATTCCTCTAGTTTCCGTGATAATAATTTTTTTTTAATAAATGCTCTTGACTTCTTTTCCATTCCCTTCCTTACAGTGAAATATTCATGGTGAGATTTCTAGAGGAGAGATTCAATATTAGGCAGGTCAGTGTCACCGCCCACCTGAACCTCACTCTTCAGTATCAGCTTTGTCAATGATAAAGTTTATAGGTCATCTCTATTTGCCTATTATTTTGTCTTATATTTCAGTTACCTCAAAATACAGATGGGAAATAAAATTACTATTTCTTCATATTTATTCAGCCCCCTCAAACTCTACCATTAAATGTAGGATATTGGCCTAGGTAAGTGGAAAGGTAAGGGAAAATGCTAACCAGCTTGGAACTGTAGCCAAAGAGTGGCACCTAAACAGAGTCCATGTGGGATATTTTAAAAAATAATCTCTAGATTGGGAGCCAGAAAACCTGGGTTCTAATCTCAGGGTTGTCCTTGTCAGTTTTGCCTCTGAATAAAATGACTGAGAACAAATTAAGTAAAATTTATTCAAGTTTCTGAACTAGATGATGCCATGTGTTTGTACAACATTAATATTCCACGGCCCCAAGACTAGCAGTCTGATTTTGATAATTACTGTATTCTCCTTTCCTCTTGTGAGTAATACTTCTCAAAATCTATGTAGACAAGTTGTGCTACCCTTGCCCATAGCTGAGAAACCTCTAGCCATGGGTGGTGAGTTCCACTCTTTCCCTTACCCTTTCCTCATTTCCTCCCAATGCTGATGAAACCTCGCAGTCTAAGATGTGAGTGGGAATGCAACCCTCCATGCTGGGGTTGGTCCAGATCATTCCTACGATTGAAAAGCTGTCATATTATGGCAGTCTTAATAAGTAAAATTTCTAAATTTGTTCCAAAAGATTCCCAATGTTTCCTCAGAGGGCATGTCAAAGCTGTGAAACTGAAGAGGAAGATGCATTTGAAAATGCCCAAGCACACCTCAAATACAGCACAGACTATAAAGAAGTCCTTTCCCAGCCACTAGTTGTCCTCTAGTGTATATGGCCACTCAAGAAATGAGGAAAATGAGAGAGAGGGATGAGAAAAAGTGGAAGGAAGGAGAGAGGGAGAAAGAGAGGGAGGGAGAGAGGGAGAGAAGGAAAAGAAGAAAAGGAAATGAAAGAAGGAAGGATAGAAGGAAGAAAAAAATAAAGGAAGAGGAAGAGACAGGAAAAAGGAGGAAGAGAGTGAGGGAGGGAAGAAGGAAGACAATGATTTATACTATTATGAGCCAAACATTAAGCTAGACATATTCATGTACCTTCCTTCATTTAATTAGGATAAAGCCCAGAAAGTAGCATCAGTATTGCCAGCACCATGTTGTACATACGGTAACTAATACTTCAGATGCTTTTTAAACACACCCCACCAGCTGCATGATTTCTGATTTTCTATTTGAAAAGATGCCTCCTAGAGAGCTTGGGACTGATCATCCTTCTAAGAGAAGAATCAGGTACTCTTAGCAGTTAAATTTGGATTTAGTGTTTCCTTGACTTCTCTTTCAAGTGCTCCAACAGTCTGCTCAGTTAGTTGTAGCAAAACTGACCCAGACCAGTAACAAAAACTCATTGTTCCACAGTCCCAGGGCTAATTCCTAATGGCTTCATGACTTTTCTGTAATTCAGATCTGATAGCAGTAGAGAGAGGAATGGAGAAGTGTGAGGAAGGGGAGGGAGAGGTGGCCCTACAGATGGCCTTGGAGCAGTGTGAATGATGTCTAATGTTCAGCAGTTACAGGCTATCAGACACTAATATACCCTCTGGGCTGAACCGAATAGGCCTATTACTCTCGACTGCAATTCGCCATCTGTGAAGTGAGCTGGTGGCTTCAGACAAGACTACAAATTGCACTTGATACCAAAAGAGTCAGGGAGGGGATTGCGATGTAAAAGTAAGGGAAGAGCAGACAGAGAACGAAATTGACCAAAAGCCATACAAGGATAAGAAGTAATAAACCTTAGCCTTCAGAACACCCCTAAGATAACCCAAGCCATTCACAAGATTGAATTTATGGATCCTAACAGACTGTGTATAAGTTCCGGGATCAAAGGTTTGCTGTCATTAGGAGAGATGTGCACAGCTGGAGCCCATAATGCCCTCCCACTAACAGGCAGCCCCGTTTAGTCTGTTGTCACAATTCATTAGCTTCTTCTGACATTTGTGTGACATCATTTCAGAAAAGGGATCTAACCACAGCTCAAAGAAAAGACAGAGCCATTAGAAAAAATGATGGCTGCAGATACAGTGCAGTTCATTAGTTTTGCATAAAGATGATGAGGATGATAATGAAAGCTCATGATGTTGACTAATGACATGTTTTCCTTCCCGCCATAAGCAATGCCATTCTTGAAGTGTAACTTTGCATTTTGATCCTGACTCTACCACCTAGGAGCTGTTATGTACTGAAATCTGTTACCTTAAAATTCGTATGTTGAAGCCCTAACCTCCATTGTGACTACTTGAAGAAGGGGACTTTGAAGAGATAATTAAGGGCAAATGAGGTCATAAGGATGGGGATCTAATTCGATGGATGAGTGTCCTTATAAGGAACATAAGAGGCACCAGAGAGATATATTTCTCTGCATGCACAGAGTGGAAAAGCCAGGTAAGCATGCAGCAAGAAGGCAGCGATCTACAAGTGAGAAGGAGGGGCCTCACCAGAAACCAACCCTGCTGGCATTTTGATCTTGGACTTCCAGCCTTCAGAACTGTGAGAAAACAAATATCTGTTGTTTAAGTCAACAAGTCTATGGTATCTTGACATGGCAGTCTGAGCAGACTAATAAGAGGAACCAAAGCTTAGGCAAGGTATAATGATACCTTGAGCAGTTTGGGAGTATACACAACATTTATTAAATATTGAGGGCTTAGCATGGTGGTTGGCACATTGTCAGGAACTGGTAGTTCTCACCATCTTCCCAGTGACCTTTCAAGCAAGTGAACCATGTTGAATATGCATATGTCTTGATCTTCTGCCTAAACTGAAGTCACTGGGCATCAGGAACCTATTGAAGCTGGGGCACCCTGGGGCACAGATAACTTTTCATTCTACTTTAAGAAGTAGACAAAAGTAACTCTTATTCATTGAGTGCCTCTATGTACTAGATATTATAACAAGAACCCCTATGTTCCTTGTCCCATTCTTATAGCAGCCCTATGAAGGAGATAACTGTAACTCAGAAAAGTTTAGAAGCTTGCCTAAGCACACACAATGAAACAGTGGAGACAGATACTAAGATCTCACAGGCTATAAAGTTATCTAGCATGATCTACGTGGCCCCGACAAGGTAGGCCTAACTGCAGAAAACACTCAGCCTGGCACAATGAACCTGTGCACCTGAAGCACACACAGGACTATCAAGCAAAAGAGAGCAGTCTAATTGCATGGCATCAACCCAAATGCCCATCAGTGATAGACTGGATAAAGAAAATGTGGCACATATACACCATGGAACACTATGCAGCCATAAAAAGGAATGCAATCATGTCCTTTGCAGGGACATAGATGCAGCTAGAAGCCATTATCCTCAAACTAACTCAGGAACAGAAAACCAAAGACCACATGTTCTCATTTATAAGTGGGAGCTGAGCAATGAGAACACATGGACACAGGAAAAGGAAGAATACACACTGGGGCCTGTCATGGGGTGGGGTCGGGGGAGGGAGAGCATTAGGAAAAGTAGCTCACACATGCTGGGCTTAATAGCTAGCTGATGGGTTAACAGGTGCAGCAAACCAGCATGGCACATGTTTACCTATGTAACAAACCTGCACATCTTCCACATGTACCTGGGAACTTAAAATAAAAATAAAGGAAAAAAAAGAGAGACAGCAGGCTAATTAAACAAATCACACTGAGTCAAGTAGTGTGGAGAACTTAAGACCATCTCTTCTATGAATACCTAATGGAATGGAAAAAAGTATTATGATAAATTAATGAAAAACCAGCATATATGACTTCATAAAAGTATAATTCCACTTGTGTGTGTGTACATGTGTGTATATATATATATTAAATTTGTTTAACATTCATTTGACTTTGTTTTTAGGGAAAGAATACTAAAGGATATGTATGTCCCATAATTATGTGTTTAGATATATATGTATTCATTTTTACAAGACTGAAATATATCAAAATATACATTTTGTAGGGCAGTCTTATTTCTCTTCATATGTCCAGTGTTTTCTATAGGTTTAAAATAATTACATATTTTTCATGTTTTTTTTTGTTAGTTACATATTACTTTTTTAATTCACTTAAATTCACATATTAATCAGATTTCTTTAGGTTTTCCATAAATGTCTTTTTTCTGTTCCAGGATCCTACCCAGGATATCACATTACATTTAGTAGTCATGTCTTAGGGTCCTCTTGACTGTGCCCGTTTCTCGGACTTTCCTTGCTTCTGAGAGCTTAACAGTCCTGAGAAATACTGTTCAAGTATTTTGTAGAATGTTCCTCCATAGGAATTTGTCTGATGTTCTCTCATAATTAGACTGGGAGGAAGACCGCTGAGGAAAAGTGCCATTTTTATCACACCATATCAACGAATATACTGTCGACATGACTTATATCTGTTGATTTTGAGGTAGTGTTTGTCAGATTTCTCTGCTATAAAGTACTATGTTTTCCCTTTCCATGCTGTACTCTTTGAAAGGAAGTCACTATAAACAGTCTGTGCTGATGGAGTAGGAAGAATTTTGTTCTACTTTCTGGAGGGCAGAGTTTGAATTGCTTGGATTTCTGCATTCAGCACTCTTTTCTGCATTTATCCAGTTAATTAGTTAGTTAGTTATATCAGTGCGCACTTATAAATATTTATTTAATACTTTCAAATATAATCCAACATTACCATATTTTGTTGCGGCAATTTTTTCAGCTTTGTGCCTCAGGAGCTGTTCAGTTGTTTCCTGTGTCTCTTTGACATATAACATTATTGTGGGCATTTGGCATTTTGTTTTTTAGAGCAATTCTTTACTTTCTTACACTAAAATTTGCTCCAGATTCATCTTGTATATACTCTGCCCTAGTCCTAGAATCGGCCATTATAACCACTCTGGCAGTCTCTTTTAATTGTAATATTTAAACCGTTCATACTTAAGTGATTACTAATATTGTTGGTTTAACATCTACCATATTTGTAACTGTTTTCTATTTATTGCATTTGTTCTTTCTTTCCTCGTGACTTCTGCTTTCTCTGGTTTTAATAACATACTTTCTATTATTCCATTTTAACTCCTCTCTTAGCCTATTTCTTGAATTTTTTAGTGATGGCCGTAGAGTTTTCAACATGCATTTTTAAGTAGTCTAAATTGAACTTAAAATAACACTATATCTCTTCATGTGTAGTTCAGGTGTCTATAATAGAGTGTTCCCAATTCCTCTCTCCCATTTCTTATGACATTGCTGTCATTTATTTCACTTATCCATATGCTATAATCACCCAATTTATTGTTATTATCATTACTTAAAAATGGAATAAACTGCAGACTTTTATTCCTATAAAACTAATATATTGGTCAGATGCCTTTTACAAGTATGGATTCATACAAAAAAATTCCTGGAGCTGTGACAAATCCATTTTATCAGAAATAAAAATGCTATTTACTTTTCCAAGAAATCATCTCAAGATGCCAATGTAGCATCCTTTATAGACTGATTTTTGGCTCTTCTTTGGGTAGAATTTCCTTTTATGAATCCAAAGACAACTATTTGCCAAGCACCCAGCTATCACACCCACGGAGTCAAGAGCATTAGAGGTAAAAACAAAAAAAGACAGTGCGGACTGAAAATAAGTCACGGGATGTCCACTGAGTCTCACAGCAGGCACGGCACAAAGACAAATGATGATAGACCTAGAGGATTTTGTAAGCCACCCTTTCTGGCGCATTCCTCAACATCAGAGACACCCCCCTGCCATCTCTCCAAATGCTTCCTTAATGCCGCCAAAGAAACAGGAGCCTGTCTAGGAGCCTCCATCCAGTTCCTCATGCACCCACCATATGCTGGGCCTTCCAAATAAACAAGAAGTTAAGAAGTTCCAAGTTTATTAGGAAGTCACCATTGCATTGATAATCACATGAAGAGTTCAGTGGTGCAGAAGCAATTCCACATATAGTACAAGTGATCTCTTCTATTAGAAATGAGTCCCCAGGTTCTTTTTAGTTATGATCCAGTACCAGAAAAGAAAATGATGTGAAGAAACAGCTTCCCTCTTACCGTTCATGTATACTCCTTGTTACATAAACAGTATTTATGTTACGTTGTGGCTATGCTGTGGGGGTGAGAGAGAGAGGGGAAGAGTTGAAATAGTATTACGGGGAAGGCCACATCCTTGTGTGCAGGTACTAAGTCAATTGGAATGTTGATCATCTGAAAATGAGGGGTGCCTTTTAGACAAAAACATCCAGGCATTAAAACGAGGCTGTTTTCCTAATTTTTCACCTCCTGAACTGGCTGCACATCATCTGGAGAGTTTTATAAAAGCCCTCAATCTAGAGGTTCAGGATTTAGTGAACAAATCTTTTACATTATCCTCATGTACATTATTCATGAAACTGTAAGTTCCACACATTTCAGTCCTGTTCCTGTGAACTTGATTCTCTTGCACATGAAAAATCTCAACCACTAAGTGTCTATTTGGTTCATTCTGCTACATACTAGTTTCCCAGGGTTTGAAAACAGAAGACCTGCTCCTTATTTCCCTTTGATTGTGTAATTAATCTGCAATAAATGAAGCCTCCAAGTGTTTTATGGCGCTTCAATTTCCCATTCCCCTCCGACATTTGGAGGGAAAATGGAACACACAGCAAGACCTTTGAACAAGAAGTAATAGCCATTAAATTGAAACACAATGCAAGGTTTTCCTAACCATGAGTCCATAATATGTGTGTTCATGGAAAGTGATGTGCTTGTTGCCTGCAGCAAAACCAGATGCTCTGTTTTCAGTTGATCAGTGTTGCTAGGAGGTAGTAATACAGTGTCTGAATTCAAGAAAGAGAATTAAAGGAGCAGTGTCATAATACTATTTCCAGATGTCCCACAATAAGGATGATGAGTTAAAATGCAGTGTGCTTTAGATTCCATTCAGTGGAATCTAGCATACACTTATCAAAAAAAAATCATATTTGTAAAGTGAAACTTGGGGTCGGATCCCAACTTTGCTACTTCCCAGCTATGTGTCCTTAGGCAAGAACAGTAACAATCACAAAGCAAAACTGTGACCCTTAAAACACTTAAAAGTATAGGGATACTGCCCAGTACCTTTTCAATAGAGGTTCATTTTATTGAAGAAAAATGTAAAATGGACATCATACTGTTATATTTAAATATCATATTTATGTTCTGTATATAGAGGTTGTATTAGTTTCTCAAGATGGCCATAGCAAAATACCACAGACTGGGTAGCTAAGCTTCAGAAATTTATTTCTCAAGTTTCAGAGTCTGGAAGTCCAAGATCAAGGGGTCAGCAGGGTTTGGTTTCTCCTGAGGCCTCTTTCCCTGCTTGCAGATGGCTGTCTTCTTGCTGTGTCCTCAAATGGCCTTTTCTCTATGTACAAACATCCCTGGTGTCTCTCTCTCTCCTTTTATAAGGACACCAATCATACTGAAATTGGATTATGGTCCTGCCCATATGACCTCCTTTAACCTTAATTATATCCTTAAAGGCCTTAAGTCCAAATATGGTCACACTGATGGTTAAAGCTTCAACATATGAAAGTTGGGAGGACATATACAGTCCATAAAAGTGGTATTATAAATAGCATTTCATATACTATTACAAATACCACTTCAAAATGTAAAAGCTAAAACACTTTTTATTTCTTTCTGAGAAAGTCACTGGAAAATGTCAAATCTAGTATTGTCTTTGAATAACAGTAAATCATTTTTCTCTCCCACCCAATCTCTGTGTCTACAAAGTAAACATCATTTCAAGGTCCTAAGATATATAGATATTAGCTTCTCTGATTGGCTGTGACTGGGACCTGTTCTAGAAATAGGTAAGTTGACTAGATATCTTTTCCTTGGAGCTGGGGTCCTAATTATTCCCTTTTTAAATGTCTTTCCACTAAAGTAAGAATTGAAGGGAAGAAAGATAATCCATGATAAATTCAGATATTGGAAAAATGTTCACAGGATTTTTAAAAATAACTTTTAAAGTGACTCTTGTGACCTAGCGATTCTTCTATGTCTCATTCACTGCTACAATTAACTGTCTCATACTCCACAAATGGAGAGAATAACTGTGCTACCTACAACAGGTGTATAATTAACAAGAAGTTGTTTCTGATATAGATATAAATATCCACATAACCCCATTCTCTTCCCTGTCTAGTCAATTGCATTTATATTTGCTGAAGTAAGCATCCTCCAATATCATTTTTTCATTCCATCCCTTCTTACAAAAAAAAAAATTAAGAATCTGTTATGGTTCCCTCTTATTTTTACTACTTATTTTTTTTCACAAATTCCTCAGAATGGCCTCTGAAATGTTTCCCCAAATGTTTCCACCCAGATCATCAGCATCATTTTTTATTCCCCTCCATCCGCCCCCCACAAAACCTCCCACTACCAGGAGAGGGTAGATTTTCAGGCATTTTCTGCAAAGCACAAAGTTGTGGGTGCAAACACGCTTTAGGACAGAGTCCTGCTTGCTCAGAGACTTTGTCTTTTCGCCTTTGATTTCCTCAGTGCACCCAGGACAGGGCCTACTAAATAAAAGATAAATAAAAGATAAGTAATAAAGAGATGTATGCCTCCTTGTTTCTTTCCACCTATTTAAAATCTGATTTTAAGTTTTCCCCTTCTAGATCTTTGAAAACAAACACCCTTGACTCTGATTACCCTTTGATTATGTGTTCCCATACTTTAGTTAGACCCCAGTAAGAAGCATATACTGATCAGTTGCTTTGAGGAAGTATTTCATTAAAATGCCATTTAATAGGAGTGCTCCATGTCACCAGAAGGTAGAATAAGCCTTTGTGCATAGTTCATTCAAATGTGTTTTTGATCAACAAAGCTAAATCAGTATTTCACTCATTTTACATCCCATATCACCTCTTATTTGTGAATATACAAATGAAGCTAGTAGATACAGCAATTTCTAATTAAACAATGTTTTTCAGTGCTTACTTTGTGGCAGGAATTGGGTTGAAGACTATACATACATGATTTTCCATAATCCCCATAAAAATGTCTGAAGGAAATTGAGGTTAAACCAGCTCACCCACTAACCTAAGGTCACAGAGTAAGTCATGAAGTCAGGATTCAAATGTGTACCAGAGTCGCACATTAATTCCCCTATGTTTTGGTGTCTTTAAAATTAGATTGTCTACTGATTCCTATGCTAAGGAAAGATTTTGCAAGATGTTTCTCCTTCACACATACTACAAGGAAAGAAATCGATACACAGAGATACACTTACATCCTTTCTCCCTTAACACAGGTAACTTTGAAGGAGAAAGAAAATCCTGTTTAATTAAGTCAACTTGGTTAGGTCTAAATTGGAAGGGATGCAAAGAGGTCATCTAGGTAAGTCCCCTGGCTACCAAATAAAAACATACCTTAAACATCCAAGATTAATTATTGATCCATCTTTATACCATCAGGAGAGCCACTAAAATACTGATACACAGACCTTCATATCCTTTAATGGGTCAGTATGGAAATGCCGTGGGATGTTAGCAATTTTTCCAGAATTCTCTAGCATTTCTTCAATTAAAGAAAACATGTAGGTATGTGGAGCTTTTTACTGTTTGGGTCTCTGGGTCCGTTTTTTAAATTCAACAAAATATTTTTCAAGACATTAATTACAGATTGCTTCAATCTTTGCCCTGGTGAGAGGAAAAGATTAAAAACTGCAACAGGAGATAATTTCTAAAAGACACAAAGTTTATTCTTCAAGAAAGATTCAGAGAATGAAAGGAAATTTTTTTAAATACATCTGAAACTAAGAGGCTTTCATATGCCTGAGTTTTGATTGAAGTCTGGTTGGATGTGATTACAGGGAACTCTTGATTCCACAGATGAGTTTTAATCCTGTTGGCAGAGGGAGAAAGGGGCGTATATTTGCTAGCTGATTTTGTATGTAGATCATCTTACTGCGTTTTGATTCAAAAGATACAGAATAAAATATTTCCAGCTTTGAATGAGTTGAAGTTGGAGAGAAAGAGAATATATTCTGAGTTTTGAGACCCTTTAGCTCCAGGGGATACCTAGCTGCTGGAAAACTGAAATTGTATTGCAAGGAGTAGAAATAACTCTTTACAGATTGTGCATGTGTGTTGGTTTTATTGAATTTTTGTCTCTGTGAAGGTTGACTACAAAAGTCTCCATCAGGCCACATCCAAAGATCAGGACTATAGTTGAGGAAAATTTGACGTACAAAGTTCAGGCAAGAGGTGCTACAAGGGTAGGAGAAATTGGTATGTCCATTCTCCACAAAACGCCAACTTGACATTTTGGGTAGTACAAGTGTGGAAAGGAAAATAAAAAATCAGTGATAAACAAAAAAGATATCAGTGACTTCTGCCATGTGACTTTGCAGTCCCTCCCACTTAATGCTGCATCGAACCTCCTCATTCCTTTTCTTTGGGATTTGCCTGTGACTTGCTTTGGCCAATGGAATGTCAGCAGTGGTACACAAGCAGAGGCTGGAAATGTTCTTGCTGGGCTGGGCTTTCACTCTTGTACTGCTACCATCACAAAAACAACATACCTCAAGTGGCTTACTAGACCCAGAAGGATGAGTGACACAGGAGCAGGTCTGACCTGAATCCATGTCCTGGAGCAGAGTCCAGCCAAGACTAGTGGAGATGAGCAGAATTACTCGCTGTACACAAGCATATGAGTGAGAATAAATAAGGGTGGTTTAAGCCACTAACTTTTGGACTGATTTGCTACACAGAATTTTGCGGGATAATGAACCAATAGAGGCTTTTAACCTGTTTTTGTTCAAAGACTTCTTTGAGAATATGATAAAAGCTGCGGACTTTCTTCTTAGTAAAATCATATGCATAAATTTAAGATTTTGTATGCAATGTCAGAGGATTCCTTGACCCTGTACATTATCCAAGGAGACTTGGTTATTAAGAACACTTGCTTTTTCATATGTCTAATTAGTGTTGCCTGAGCAAACTGGTAGTTAGAATGATTTACAAAGGAGAAAAAAATGTGTCTGTTTTGTTTTGCAAATGATATTTAACAATTTCTTTCAGCATGTTCTCTTTTTCTTTCAGCACCCATATTCAATCCATGAGCAAATACTATTAGTAACACTTCCAAAGCGTATTTTTAAACTGTCCACTTCTCTCACCCCCACCACTACCACTCTAGTCCAAACAACCATCATCTCTCACCAGGATGATTGCAGTACCTTTCTAACTGGCCTCTTTCCCTCTTCTATGGCCCCTCTGCAAAATATTCTTCATCCAACAGTCAAAGTTATTTTCAAAAATGTCCTTTGGCAAAATGTTGTTATTCCAAGTTAAAGGACAGTATGTGCCTAGGTCAATAAATCACCTTAAAACTTAGTTAAGAGATGAACTTATATTAAGCTCAGCACACACAATGGAGGAAAAGGGCATGATGCACTTGAAATAGGCAACTCATCTCTTCATTCACATACCTAGAATAGTTTATATAAAAATAAAGGAGATTACTGTAGCCTTGTAGTATAGTTTGAAGTCAGGTAGTGTGGTGCCTCCAGCTTTGTTCTTTTGGCTTAGGATTGCCTTGGTGATGTGGGCTCTTTCTTGGTTCCATATGAACTTTAAAGTAGTTTTTTCCAATTCTGTGAAGAAAGTCATTGGTAGCTTTATGGGGATGGCACTGAATCTGTAAATTACCTTGGGCAGTATGGCCATTTTCACGATATTGATTCTTCCTACCCATGAGCATGGAATGTTCTTCCATTTGTTTGTATCCTCTTTTATTTCCTTGAGCAGTCGTTTGTAGCATGGTACCGGTACCAAAACAGACATATAGATCAATGGAACAGAACAGAGCCCTCAGAAATAATGCCACATATCTACAACTATCTGATCTTTGACAAACCTGACAAAAACAAGCAATGGGGAAAGGATTCCCTATTTAATAAATGGTGCTGGGAAAACTGGCTAGCCATATGTAGAAAGCTGAAACTGGATCCCTTCCTTACACCTTATACAAAAATCAATTCAAGATGTATTAAAGACTTAAACGTTAGACCTAAAACCATAAAAACCCTAAAAGAAAACCTAGGCATTACCATTCAGGACATAGGCATGGGCAAGGACTTCATGTCCAAAACACCAAAAGCAATGGCAACAAAAGCCAAAATTGACAAATGGGATGTAATTAAACTAAAGAGCTTCTGCACAGCAAAAGAAACTATCATCAGAGTGAACAGGCAACCTACAAAATGGGAGAAAATTTTCGCAACCTACTCATCTGACAAAGGGCTAATATCCAGAATCTACAATGAAATCAAACAAATTTACAAGAAAAAAACAAACAACCCCATCAAAAAGTGGGCGAAGGACATGAACAGACACTTCTCAAAAGAAGACATTTATGCATCCAAAAAACACATGAAAAAATGCTCATCATCACTGGCCATCAGAGAAATGCAAATCAAAACCACAATGAGATACCATCTCACACCAGTTAGAATGGCGATCATTAAAAAGTCAGGAAACAACAGGTGCTGGAGAGGATGTGGAGAAATAGGAACACTTTTACACTGTTGGTGGGACTGTAAACTAGTTCAAGCATTGTGGAAGTCAGTGTGGCGATTCCTCAGGGATCTAGAACAAGAAATACCACTGGACCCAGCCATCCCATTACTGGGTATATACCCAAAGGACTATAAATCATGCTGCTATAAAGACACATGCACACGTATGTTTATTGCGGCATTATTCACAATAGCAAAGACTTGGAACCAACCCAAACGTCCAACAATGATAGACTGGATTAAGAAAATGTGGCACATATACACCATGGAATACTATGCAGCCATAAAAAATGATGAGTTCATGTCCTTTGTAGGGACATGGATGAAATTGGAAATCATCATTCTCAGTAAACTATCGCAAGAACAAAAAACCAAACACCGCATATTCTCACTCATAGGTGGGAATTGAACAATGAGATCAACATGGACACAGGAAGGGGAATATCACACTCTGGGGACTGTGGTGGGGTGGGGGGAGGGGGGAGGGATAGCATTGGGAGATATACCTAATGCTAGATGATGAGTTAGTGGGTGCAGCGCACCAGCATGGCACATGTATACATATGTAACTAACCTGCACAATGTGCACATGTACCCTAAAACTTAAAGTATAATAAAAAAAATTAAAAATAAATAAATAAATAAATAAATAAAAATAAAAATAAAAATAAAGGAGATATTTAGTTAGTAAAGCATCTTATAGGATGATAAGCAGAATGATTAATGAATCCACTTGTGTGTATAAGCAAAAAAAATTAACATTACAAATCAAGAGCAAATTCAGAATAATTTTGTCAAATGGATGTGGAACCTAATATTAATTAGGCAAAACCACTGATGTGTTTCTAGTTGAGCAAACACAAACCTACAAAGACATGACACACATCTGGGGTTCTCACCAAATTTTCAAGGTTTGTTTACTAGGAAAAAATTAGAAAATAAGTTTTATAGCATATTTATGTATGTTTCTGATTACTGATTATTACATGGGCATAGTTCACAAAATACTGCCAGGAGTGGTGGCTCACACCTGTAATCCCAGCACTTTGGAAGGCCCAGGCAGGTGAATCATGGGGTCAGGAGTTCGAGGCCAGCCTGACCAACACAGTGAAACCCCGTTTCTACTAAAAATACTAAAATTAGCTGGGTGTGGTGACATGCACCTGTAATCCCAGGTACTCAGGAGGCTGAGGCAGGATAATTGCTTGAACCTGGAAGGCTGAGGTTTCAGTGAGCCAAGATCGTGCCACTGCACTCCAGCCTGGGTAACAGAGCGGGACTCTGTCTCAAAAAACAAAACAAAACAAAAAACAAACAAACAAACACAAACAATAAAAAATCAATTTTCCTGAACACCTGCAAGTCTCATTCTCTTAGAAGAGGAGCCCTAACAAGTGTTCCCTTTCTTGATGGCCTTTCCATCATTTGGAAATTACAGGAGCAACAAGACTATCTGGATTGAATTGTGGAAAAAGTATTGATAATATGAAAATCACAGGAATTTGGGGACATAGTGGGTCCCCAAATATCGTATGAAAGATACGATATTATCAGATACTTAACATAGACTTTAGAATAGCAGATTATATATATATATATGCGTATATATATACATATATATGTATATATATACATATATGCATATATGTGTATATATACATATATATGTATATATACATGTATATATGTGTATATATACATATATGTATATATGTGTATATATACATGTATATATGTGTATATATACATATATGTATATATGTATATATATACATGTATATATGTGTATATATATATATGTATATATGTATATATATACATGTATATATGTGTATATATACATATATGTATATATATACATGTATATATGTGTATATATACATATATGTATATATGTATATATATACATATATACATACACACACACACATATATATACACACACACACACACACACACACAATCCTAGGGTCAGAAACTCTCAAGAAAAAAATCACTCATAAAGATAAGAGAATGTGTCAAATGAACATCTGGCATACAGTTCTTATGGGTACATAGGGAACTCTGATTATCACAGATCTAGATAAACAGTATTTCTAGTGATAACCAAAGTAAGTGTCACTCATACAAATCAGAAAATATCATGAATTTTCCTTGAGTCTTTCACTTTTCTCCTCACAGCATATTCAGTCTTTCTCATATTCTTTTAGCTTTATGCCAAACCTTTTCACATCATTAATAATGAGACCAGCCCGTCGTCTGTTACAAAGCTTTCAAATATCTGAGCTTATTTAAAATGCTCTAAGATAGTTGATACTTCTAACTTACACTTATTTTATATGTGTATTTATTTATTTATTTATTTTAAATTTACATAAAGAATGTAAGAAAGAAGTACTGATCATCTACTTGAGGAGGATAGTGTAATGATAGCAGACAATATTTTTAAAATTCAACAAATGCTCATTATACACCATTTTGGGTCAAGCATTTTGTCAGGCCTTGGGGATAAAGCAGTTATAGAGACAATTGCAGTGTGTCACTATATAGTAAGAGAGCTATTTTGATTTTGGTGGTCAAGGCAGACCTTTCTGGAAAGTGATGTTTAAATTACTGCCTTAAAGGAAAGAGAAACCAATCCCATGATCAAAAAAAAGTATGATTGGCAAGTCTAAAGCCTATGGAAGTAGACTTGGACATGCTTCAGAAACAGTTTAAGACCACAGAGAGTTTAAGACCATAGCTGGAACATAATGAGTAAGAAGTAGAAATTAACGAAATGAAGTCAGAGAGGTAGGCAGCGCTGGTTCCTACAGAATTGTCTAGGGTAAGAAATTTGGATTTTATTTCCAGGGCAATAGGAAGTCACTAGGTGATATAGTTTGGATGTTTGTCCTCTCCAAGTCGCACACTGAAATGTGATCTCTAACGCTGGAGATGGGGCCTGGTGGGAGGTATTTGGGTCATAAGGACAGATCCCTCATGGATGGCTTGGTGCCTTTCTCAAGATAATGAGTGACTTCTCACTCTGTTAGTTCATGCAAGAGCTGGATGATTAAAGGAGGCTGTCACCTCCTCCTCACTCTCTCTTGCTCCCTCCTGCCATGTGATATACTGGCTCCCTCTTTGCTTTCCATCATGATTTTAAGCTTCCTAAGGCTTCACCAGTAGCCAAGCAGATGCGGGTGCCATGCTTGTACAGCCTGCAGAACCATGAGCCAAATGAACTTCTTTTCTTTGTAAATTACCCAGTCTCAGGTATTCATTTATAGCAATACAAAACAGACTAGCAAAGTAGGTAGATTTTAGGTAAGGACATAAGTGACATGCGTCATTTGCATTTTGGAAAGATCACTCTGCTGCTGTGAAAAACTGATGATAGAAAGGCAAAAATGGTGGGGCAAGGATACCACTAAGGAGGTCACTAAAATAAATCAGAAGAAAGATGAAGATGGATTAAATTATCTTGGAAGCAATAACAATGAGGGATGTCAACAGATTTTCAGTGATTAATTCAATTTTGGGATGTGAGAGAAAGAAAAAACTTAAGAACGATGCCAACATTTTTGGTTGAGAAACTGAGAGGATGATGGCACCAGTGACATTCAAAATGGATCCTTTCCTTTCTCGCTTCCCTCCTTCCTTCATAGGTCTCTATGTTGGGGAGCAGTGGTAGTAATGGTAGCAAGGAGGTAGGAACTCAGAAGAAGCTATCAGAAGCCATTCACCTGGACAGGGGTGGGGTGAGGAGGCCATCCACTTGGGCAGGGGTAGAGAACAATAACAGTCTGACCACAGTGTCAAAGACTGAGCAAGATGATGAGCCCAAGGAGACTGTAAATGGTGTCCACCTAGGAGTGAGCAAACCATCACCCAGTGTAAGGTATAGGAGCTCAAGTGACATGGGAAGGGTATCTAAAGAAAGGGACAGAAGCAGTGATGAGAGATTGATGACATAGAGGGGATTGATCCAAAAAGTAAATATATTGAAGTTAATATGAGGAAGGTTTATTACTTTCAGGGAAGGGAGTTGAAAGTAAGGAAAGAAGAAAACTAGAATGAATCATGTGATGTTATATTACAATTGAAGGTACAGTTATAAACTCATGGTTTTAATATAGATAGATATAGAAATAAACATAGATATAAATGTGTACATATAAAATGTTTGTATATGTGAACATATATACACACATGCATATATGAACATATATACACACGCATATATGAACATATATACACACGCATAGATAAACATATATACACACGCATAGATGAACATATATACACATATATATGAACATATACATATAAATATATGTATATATTCATAAATAATATATGTATACATTATAAATATATTTTTATATGCAAATACACATACACATACACATGTATATGTATATACCTACATAGGATATGAAATATGTGCGTGTTTATACGCTTTAGTTCTGTTTACCAAGAAGGCTGGCAGCAGTGTTAACCCAATAGCCAGGAGCACCACTAGTGCTCACATCCTGGTTTCTAAATACCTTTCTCCACTAAATGCAAACAGAACTCCATGGAGAAATGGTTGAGCCCAAAGCTAAAGAAAGGAAAGAAAAAGATAAGCCTAGAGTGTCTTGTGTCACAAAGTAAGGAAATACTGAATAATGATGAGTATATGTCAAAAGGACACAGAAGTCAGCAAAAAGGAGCCCAAACTGGTCAGAGTTGGGATTATTAAAGTATCAGAATGAATAATAATAATAATAATCTTAGATGACAACCAAATAAATATAATGGGAGCCCATAGGTCCAACCTGATATAAATAAGTTAACCAATGGAAAGAAGAGAAATTATTTATTTACAATAGGGTACCAACTAATAAATGTTGAAGGAGTAAGAATTAGAAAATTATCATTTGGTAACCATCATAGTAATTAATAATTTAGACAAAAAAAATCAATAGATGTCATGACTTGTGGGTGAAATTTGAATGCAGATGAAATAGTTATATAGCCATACTCTACCTTCTAAAAATACTTTCTAATACAATGGAAAAGGAGATACTTTAGAGGAAACTGGAAAATGACACCTTAATTAAGTAAGCAAAGTTAACATCACTAGTAACTAGACAAATTAAAACTGAATGCCACCTGATATAATGGAATAAAAAGGTCACATAGATACTTATGCCAGAATTGCACAACATCAATGTAATTACAAGAAAGCATAAGAAAACTTTAAATTGAGAAACATGGAAAGTAACTGGCTTGTAATCTATAAAAATATCAAGATTGTAAAAGCCAATGATAAACCTAAAAATTTTTTCACATTGAAAGATGTTAGTGAACTATGACAAATAAATTTAACACATGACTTTGGATTGGATCCTTTTGCTATAAAAGATAATATTGGTAATAATTCTTCTTTAAATGTTCGGTAGAATGGACCAGTGAAGCCATCTGGTCCTAGGTTTTGCTGGGAGATATTTTTGATTGCTGAATCAATAAACTTACTTGTAATTGGTCTGTTCAGATTTTCTATTTCTTCATGACTTACTTTTGGTAAGTTGTATGTTTTTAGGAATTTATTCATTTCTTCTAGTTTATCCAATTTATATGCATATAATTGTTGATGATAGTCTCTTATGATTCTTTGTATAGTTAAATCAGTTGTAATGTTTCCTCTTTCACTTCTAATTTTGAATGCTCTCTTTTTTCAATCTAGCTTATCACTTTTATCTTTTCAAAAAACAAACTCATAGTTTTGTTGATTTTTATTGTTTCTCTAATATATATTTCATTTATTTTTTATCTGATCTTTATTATTTCCTTTCTTCTGATAACTTTTGGGTTAGTTTGTTCTTATTTCTCTAGTTTCTTCAGGTATAAATTCATGTTACGTATTTGAGGATTCTTTTCTTATTATAGGCATTTATTGCTGTAAATTTCCATCTTAGAACTGCTTTGCTGCATCCCGTAAGTTTTTGTATGTTGTATTTCCATTTTTGTTTGTCTAAAGACTTTTTTTATTTTGCTTTTGATTTTTTTCTTTGACTCAGTTGTTCAGGAGAATATTGTTTAATTTTTACATATTTATGAATTTTTTTAGTTTTCCTCTTGCTATTGATTTCTAGTTTTGTACTGCTGTTTTCAGAAAATATACTTATACCAATCTTTATTAAACTTTTTCAAAGATTGAAGATAATGAAATACTTCCAAACTCATTTTATGAAGCTAGCATTACCCTAATACTGAAGTCAAATAAGGGCACTGCAGAAAAAGAAAATTACAGAACAATAGCCCTGATGAACACAGATGAACATGGAATTTCCTCAGCAAAATACTATCAAACCAAATTCAAAGCACATGAAAAGAATTATATACTATAATCAAGTAGTATTTATACCTGGAATACAAGGGGAGTTCAATAAACAAAAGTCTATAAAATACACCACATATACAGAATGAAGGGTACAAATCATATGATCATCTCAATAGATGCAGAAAAAAATATATTTGGTAAAACTCAACATCTTTTTATGATAAAAACTCTCAGCAAATTCGGTATAGAATACATTGAGGTACCTCAATGTAATAAAGGCCATATATGACAAGCCCACAGCCAATATCACACTCAATAGTGAAAAGCTGAAAGCATTACCTCTAAGATCAGAATATAGACAAGGATGTCCACTCTTGCCACTTCTATTCAACTTCTATTAACCCAAGCCACAGCAATTAGACAAGAGGAAGAAATACAAGGCATCCGAGTCAGAAATGATGATGCTAAATTTTTTCCACAGATGACAACCTTATATATTGAAAACCCTAAAGATTCTACCAAAAAACTGTTAGAATTAAAAAATTCAGTAAAGTTGCAGAACACAAAATCAACATACAAAATCAGTGGCATTTCCATACACTAACAACAAATTATTCAAAAAAGAAATTAAGAAAACAATACCATTTACAATAGCATGAAAAAGAGTAAAATATTCAGGAATAAATTTAACCAAGGAGGGAAAAGATTGATATGCTGAAAAATATAAAATATTGATGAAAGAAATGGAAGCAGACAAAAATAAATGAAATGGAATGGATGGGAAGAATATAGTTAAAATGTCCATATTACACAATGGCTAAAGATTCAATGCAGTCATTATCAAAATTCCAAAAACACTTTTTACAGAAATAGAAAACACAATTCTAAAATTTACATGGAACCATAGAAGACCCCAAATGATCAGCACAATTTTGAGCAAAAAGAACAAAGATGGAAGCATCACACTTTTAAATTTCACTTTATAAAAAGCTACTGTAATCAAAACAGCATGGTACTGAAATAAAAACAGATATATAAACCACTGGAATAGAATAGAGACCCCATAAATGAATCCACATATATATGGTCTACTAATGTTCTATAAAGTTACCAAGAATACACAATGGAGAAAGGATAGGCTCTTTAATAAATGATGCTGGAAAAACTTGATATCTACATGAAACAATAAAAAAATTGAGTCCTTATCTCACAGTATACATATAAATCAACTTAAAATAGATTAAAGCCTTAAACATGAGGCTTTAAACTGTAAAATATTTAGAACAAAACATATAGGAAAAGTCCTTGACTCTAGCCAAGATGGCCAAATAGGAACAGCTCCAGTCTACAGCTCCCAGCATGAGCAACACAGAAGACAAATGAGTTCTGCATTTCCAGCTGAGGTACCGGGTTCATCTCACTGGGGAGTGTTGGAAAGTGGGTGCAGGACAGTGGGTGCAGTGCACCAAGCATGAGCCGAAGCAGGGCAAGGCATCGCCTCACCCGGGAAGCACAAGGGGTCACGGAATTCCCTTTCCTAGCCAAGGAAAGGGGTGACAGATGGCACCTGGAAAATCGGGTCACTCCCACCCTAATACTGCACTTTTCCCACAGTCTTAGCAAATGGCACACCAGGAGAGTATATCCAGTGCCTGGCTTGGAGGGTCCAATGCCCACGAAGCCTTGCTCATTGCTAGCACAGCAGTTGGAGATCAAACTGCAAGGCAGCAGCGAGGCTGGGGGAGGATTGCCTGCCATTGCCGAGGCTTGAGTAGGTAAACAAAGCAGCAAGGAAGCTCGAACTGGGTGGAGTCCACTACAGCTCAAGGAGGCCTGCCTGACTCTGTAGACTCTACCTCTGGGGGCAGGGCATAGCCAAACAAAAGGCAGCAGAAAACTCTGCAGACTTAAATGTCCCTGTCTGACAGCTTTGAAGAGAGTAGTGGTTCTCCCAGCACGCAGCTGGAGATCTGAGAACAGACAGACTGCCTCCTCAAGTGGGTCCCTGACCCCTGAGTAGCCTAACTGGGAGGCACCCCCGAGTAGGGGCACACTGACACCTCACATGGCCGGGTACTCCTCTGAGACAAAACTTCCAGAGGAACGATCAGGCAGCAACATTTGCTGTTCACCAATATTCGCTGTTCTGCAGCCTCCGCTGCTGATACCCAGGCAAACAGCATCTGGAATGGACCTCTGGCAAACTCCAACAGACCTGCAGCTGAGGATCCTGACTGTTAGAAGGAAAACTAACAAACAGAAAGGACATCCACACCAAAACCCCATCTGTACGTCACCATCATCAAAGACCAAAGGTAGATAAAACCACAAAGATGGGGAAAAAACAGAGCAGAAAAACTGAAAATTCTAAAAATCAGAGCACCTCTCCCCCTCCAAAGTAACACAGCTCCTCACCAGCAAAGGAACAAAGCTGGATGGAGAATGACGTTGATGAGTTGAGAGAAGAAGGCTTCAGATGATCAAACTTCTCCGAGCTAAAGGAGGAAGTTCGAACCCATGGCAAAGAAGTTAAAAACCTTGAAAAAAGATTAGACGAATGGCTAACTAGAATAACCAATGCAGAGAAGTCCTTAAAGGACTTGATGGAGCTGAAAACCATGGCACAAGAACTACGTGACGAATACACAAGCCTCAGTAGCCGATTCGATCAACTGGAAGAAAGGGTATCAGTGATGGAAGATGAAATGAATGAAATGAAGCGAGAAGAGAAGTTTAGAGAAAAAAGAATAAAAAGAAATGAACAAAGCCTCCAAGAAATATGGACTATGTGTAAAGACCAAATCTATGTTTGATTGGTGTACCTGAAATTGATGGGGAGAATGGAACCAAGTTGGAAAACACTCTGCAGGATATTATCCAGGAGAACTTCCCCAACCTAGAAAGGCAGGCCAACATTCAAATTCAGGAAATACAGAGACTGCCACAAAGATACTACTCGAGAAGAGCAACTCCAAGACACATAATTGTCAGATTCACCAAAGTTGAAATGAAGGAAAAAATGTTAAGGGCAGCCAGAGAGAAAGGTCAGGTTACCCACAAAGGGAAGCCCATCAGACTAACAGCTGATCTCTCAGCAGAAACTCTACAAGCCAGAAGAGAGTGGAGGCCAATATTCAACATTCTTAAAGAAAATAATTTTCAACCCAGGATTTCATATCCAGTCAAACTAAGCTTCATAAGTGAAGGAAAAATAAAATACTTTACAGACGAGCAAATGCTGAGAGATTTTGTCACCACCAGGCCTGCCCTACAAGAGCTCCTGAAGGCAGCACTAAACATGGAAAGGAACAACTGGTACCAGCCACTGCAAAACCATGCCAAATTGTAAAGACAATCAAGGCTAGGAAGAAACTGCATCAACTAATGAGCAAAATAAGCAGCTAACATCATAATGGCAGGATCAAATTCACACATAACAATATTAACCTTAAATGTCAATGGGCTAAATGATCCAATTAAAAGACACAGACTGGCAAATTTGATAAAGAATCAAGACCCATCAGTGTTCTATATTCAGGAAACCCATCTCACGTGCAGAGACACACATAGGCTCAAAATAAAGGGATGGAGGAGGCTCTACCAAGCAAATGGAAAACAAAAAAAGGCAGGGGTTGCAATCCTAATCTCTGATAAAACAGACTTTAAACCAACAAAGATCAAAAGAGCCAAGGCCATTAAATAATGGTAAAGGGATCAATTCAACAAGAAGAGCTAACTATCCTAAACATATATGCACCCAATACAGGAGCACCCAGATTCATAAAGCAAGTCATTAGAGACCTAGAAAGAGACTTAGACTCCCACACAATAATAATGGGAGACTTTAACACCCCACTGTCAACATTAGAGAAATCAACGAGACAGAAAGTCAGTAAGGATATCCAGGAATTGAACTCAGCTCTGCACCAAGCAGACCTAATAGACATCTACAGAACTCTCCACCCAAAATCAACAGAATATACATTCTTCTCAGCACTGCACCACAGCTATTCCAAAATTAACCACATAGTTGGAAGTAAAGCACTCCTCAGCAAATGTTAAAGAACAGAAATTATAACAGACTGTCTCTCAGACCACAGTGCAATCAAACTAGAACTCGGGATTAAGAAACTCACTCTAAACTGCTCAACCACATGGAAACTGAACAACCTGCTCCTGAATGACTACTGGGTACATAATGAAATGAAGGCAGAAATAAAGATGTTCTTTGAAACCAACGAGAACAAAGACACAACATACCAGAATCTCTGGGACACATTCAAAGCAGTGTGTAGAGGGAAATTTATAGCACGAAATGCCCACAAAAGAAAGCAGGAAAGATCTAAAATTGACACCCCAACATCACAATTAAAAGAACTAGAGAAGCAAGAGCAAACACATTCAAAAGCTAGCAGAAGGCAAGAAATAACTAAGATCAGAGCAGAAATGAAGGAAATAGAGACACAGGGTTTTTTAACCCTTCAAAAAATCAGTGAATCCAGGAGCTGGTTTTTTGAAAAGATCAACAAAATTGATAGACCACTAGCAAGACTAATAAAGAAGAATCAAATAGACGCAATAAAAAATGATAAAGGGGATATTACCACTGATCCCACAGAAATACAAACTACCATCAGAGAAAAGTATAAACACCTCTACGCAAATAAACTAGAAAATCTAGAAGAAATGGATAAATTCCTGGACACATACACCCTCCCAAGACGAAACCAGGAAGAAGTTGAATCTCTGAATAAACCAATAACAGGCTCTGAAATTGAGGCAATAATTAATAGCTTACAAACCAAAAAAAGTGGAGGAACAAATGGATTCACAGCCGAATTCTACCAGAGGCACAAGGAGGAGTTGGTAGCCTTCCTTCTGAAACTATTCCAATCAATAAAAAAAGAGGGAGTCCTCCCTAACTCATTTTATGAGTCCAGCATCATCCTGATACCAAAGCCTGGCAGAGACACAACAAAAAAAAAGAGAATTTTAGACCAATATCCCTGATGAACATCGATGCAAAAATCCTCAATAAAATACTGGCAAAGTGAATCCAGCAGCACATCAAGAACCCTATCCACCATGATCAAGTTGGCTTCATCCCTGGGATGCAAGGCTGATTCAACATATACAAATCAATAAACATAATCCAGCATATAAACAGAACCAATGACAAAAACCACATGATTATCTCAATAGATGCAGGAAAGGCCTTTGACAAAATTCAACAAACCTTCATGTTAAAAACTCTCAATAAATTAGATATTGATGGGATGTATCTCAAAATAATAGGAGCTATCTATGACAAACCCACAGCCAATATCATACTGAATGGGCAAAAACTGGAAGCATTCCCTTTGAAAACTGGCACAAGACAGGGATGCCCTCTGTCACCACTCGTATTCAACATAGTGTTGGAAGTTCTGGCCAGGGCAAACAGGCAGCAGAAGGAAATAAAGGGTATTCAATTAGGAAAAGAGGAAGTCAAATTGTCCCTGTTTGCAGATGACATGATTGTATATCTAGAAAGCCCCATCGTCTCAGTCCAAAATCTCCTTAAGCTGATAAGCAACTTCAGCAAAGTCTCAGGATACAAAATCAATGTGCAAAAATCACAAGCATCCTTATACACCAATAACAGACAAACAGAGAGCCAAATCATGAGTGAACTCCCATTCACAATTGCTTCAAAGAGAATAAAATACCTAGGAATCCAACTAACAAGGGATGTGAAGGACCTCTTCAGGGAGAACTATGAACCACTACTCAGTGAAATAAAAGAGGATACAAACAAATGGAAGAACATTCCATGCTCATGGGTAGGAAGAATCAATATCATGAAAATGGCCATACTACCCAAGGTAATTTATAGATTCAATGCCATCCCCATCAAGCTACCAATGACTTTCTTCACAGAATTGGAAAAAACTACTTTAAAATTCATATGGAAACAAAAAAGAGCTCATATTGCCAAGTCAATCCTAAGCCAAAAGAACAAAGCTGGAGGCATCATGCTACCTGACTTCAAACTATACTACAAGGCTATAGTAACCAAAACAACATGATACTGGTACCAAAACAGAGATATAGATCAATGGAACAGAACAGAGCCCTCAGAAATAATGCCACATATCTACAACTATCTGATCTTTGACAAACCTGACAAAAACAAGCAATGGGGAAAGGATTCCCTATTTAATAAATGGTGCTGGGAAAACTGGCTAGCCATATGTAGAAAGCTGAAACTGCATACCTTCCTTACACCTTATACAAAAATTAATTCAAGATGGCTTAAAGAATTAAATGTTAGACCTAAAACCATAAAAACCCTAGAAGAAAACCTAGGCAATGCCATTCAGAACATAGGCATGGGCAAGGACTTCATGTCTAAAACACCAAAGGCAATGGCAACAAAAGCCAAAATTGACAAATGGGATCTAATTAAACTAAAGAGCTTCTGCACAGCAAAAGAAACTATCATCAGAGTGAACAGGCAACCTACAGAATGGGAGATAATTTTTGCAATCTACTCATTTGAAAAAGGGTGAATATCCAGAATCTACAATGAACTCAAACAAATTTACAAGAAAAAATCAAACAACCCCATCAAAAACTGGGTGAAGGATATGAACAGACCCTTCTCAAAAGAAGACATTTATGCAGCCAAAAGACACATGAAAAAATGCTCATCATCACTGGCCATCAGAGAAATGCAAATCAAAACCATAATGAGATACCAACTCACACCAGTTAGAATGGCAATCATTAAAAAGTCAGGAAACAACAGGTGCTGGAGAGGATGTGGAGAAATAGGAACACTTTTACACTGTTGGTGGGACTGTAAACTAGTTCAACCATTGTGGAAGTCAGTGTTCTAGATCCTCAGGGATCTAGAACTAGAAATACCATTTGACCCAGCCATCCCATTACTGGGTATATACCCAAAGGATTATAAATCATGTGGCTTTAGATGCATGCACAGATATGTTTATTGCGGCACTATTCACAATAGCAAAGACTTGGAACCAACCCAAATGTCCAACAATGATAGACTGGATTAAGAGAATGTGGCACATATACACCATGGAATACTATGCAGCCATAAAAAATGATGACTTCATGTCCTTTGTAGGGACATGGATGAAGCTGGAAACCATCATTCTCAGCAAACTATCACAAGGACAAAAAACCAAACACTGCATGTTCTCACTCATAGGTGGGAATTGAACAATGAGAACACATGGTCACAGGAAGGGGAACATCACACACCCGGGCCTGTTGTGGGGTGGGGGGAGGGGGGAGGGGGGAGGGATAGCATTAAGAGATATACCTAATGTTAAATGACAAGTTAATGGGTGCAGGACAGCAACATGGCACATGTATACATATGTAACAAACCTGCACGTTGTGCACATGTACCCTAAAACTTAAAGTATAATAAAAAAAAAGCCCTTGACATTGGTGTTTGCAATGATTTTTTGGGGTATGATCTCAAAAGCACAGGCAAGAAAAGCAAAAATACACAAGTAGGACTACATCAAGTTGAAAACTTCTGGGCATCAAAGGAACAAATTCAACAAAATGAAAAGGCAACCTATGAAATGTGTTAACCCCAATAGGGATTAATATTCAAAACATATAAGGAACACATACTCCATATAAATACATACATAAACTAGAAAATGATCTAAGAAACTAAATAATCATTTCTCAAAAGAAGGCATACAAATGGCCAACAGGTATAAGAATGTGCTCAACATCACTAGTCATCAGGGACATGAAAAATCAAAACCACATTATATATTACCTCACACCTGTTAGAATGGCTATTACCAAAAAGACAAAAAGATAAGAAGTGTTGGTGAGGATGGGGAGAAAATGTAACCCTGTTGGTGAGAATGTAAACTGGCATAGCCATTGATTTTGTTTGGCTGTTTCCCCACCCAAATCTCATCTTGAATTGTAACTCCTACAATTCCCATGTGTCATGAAAGGAACCCGGTGGGAGGTAATTGAATCATGGCGGCGGGTCTTTCTCATGCTGTTCTCAGAATAGTGAATACGTCTCATGAGATCCAATGGTCTTAAAAAGAGGAGTTTCCCTGCACAGGCTCTCTTTTTGCCTGCTGCCATCCATGTAAGACGTGACTTGCTCCTCCTTGCCTTCTACCATGATTGTGAGGCCTACTCAGACATGTGGAACTGTTAAGTCCATTAAACCTCTTTTTCTTCCTAGTCCTGGGTATGTCTTTATCAGCAGTGTATGAAAGGACTGCTATAGCCATTACGGAGAACAGCATGGAGGATACTCAAAAAATTAAAAACAGAACTACCATATGATCCAGTAATCCGACTTCTAGGTATATATTCAAAGGAAATGAAATTAATATCTCAAAGAGATACCTATCGTCTCATGTTCACTGCTTATTCAAATAGCAAAGATATGGAAACAAACTAAGTGCCCATCTACAGATCAAGGCATAAAGAAAACATCCATTGGAGAAAGGGCACCTCGTGCAATAAATGGTGTTGGAAAAACTGGATAGCCACACGTAAAGGAATGAAACTTGATCCCTATCTCTCATCATCTACAAAAATCAACTCAAGATGGATGAGACTTAAATCTAAGACTCAAAACCATAAAAATTCTAGAAGAAAACCTAGGAAAATCACTTCTGGACATTGGCTTAGGCAAAGAATTTATGGCTAGGACCCCAAAAGCAAATGTAACAAAGACAAAAATAAATAAATAATAAGACCTAATTCAACTAATAAACCTTCCACACAGCAAAACAAATAATCATCAGTATAAACAGACAACCCACAGATTGCGAGAAAATATTTGCAAATTATGCATCTGACAAAGGACAAATATCTAGAATTTACAAGGAACTTTAAAAAAAAAGAGCAAGAAAAAAAATAATCCGATCAAAAAGTGGGCAAGAATGGATGTTTCTCAAAAGAAGACATACAAATGGCCAATAAACATATGAAAAAATGCTCAACATCACTAAGCATCACAGAAATTCACATTAAAGCCACAATGAGATACCACCTTACCGCAGCCAGAATGGCCATTATTAAAAAGTCAAAAAATAATAGCTGTTGGCATGGATTTGGTAAAAAGGGAATGCTTATACACTGGTGGTCAGAATGTAAATTAGTACAACATCTATGGAAACCAGTATATTAGATGTCTTGAATAACTAAAAGTAGATCTACCATTCAATCCACCAAGGCCCACTACTGGGTGTCTACCCCAAAGAAAAGAAGTTATGGCATTAAAAAGATACCTACAAACATGTTTATCACAGCACAGTTCACAATTACAAATTATAAAGTGAGTGGATAAAGAAAATGTGGCACATGTACACTATGAAATACCCAGCTATAAAAAAGAATGAAATAATATCTCCTGCAGTGATTTGGATGGAGCTGGAGGCTATTCTAAGTAATTCAGGAATGGAAAACTAAATACCATATAAACTCACTTATAAGTGGGTGCTAAGGTATGGGTATGCAAAGACATACAGAATGGTGTAATAGATGCTGGAGACTCAGAAGAGGGGAGGGTGGGAGATAAAGGCTAAAAAAGTATATATTAGATACAATATATATTACTCAGGTGATGGGTGCACTAAAATCTTAGACTTTACCACTACATAATTCATCCATGTAATCAAAAACCACTTGTACCCCAAAAGTTACTGAAATAAAAGATTAAGAAAGTAGGCAAAATGCATGAGGAATTATTCATAAAACAAGACATTCATATGGCTGATAAATATAGCCATAATGGATCACACACACACACACACATACACACACACTGTGATGCTCAAACACATGAGTAATCAGTGAAATAAAAATCAAGAACACAAAAAGGAACTGTAGAATATGTATGTGGAATGAAACATTAGTGAGTCTTAGAAAAGGAGATCCTGTCATTTGCAACAACATGAGTGAACCTAGAGGAAATTAAGTTAAACAAATAAGACATACAGAGAAAGAGAAATACCATATGATCTCATTCATACACGGAATATAAAAAAGTTGAACTAATCAAAACAGAGAGTAAAATATTGTCTACCAGGATCTTGGGGATAGGAAAGTTGGTGAGATGTTGGTCAAAGGGTAAAAACTTTCAGTTATAAAATGAGTAAGTTCTGGATATCTAATGTACAGCATGGTGACTATAGTTGATAAAAATGTATTTATACTTAAAATTTGCTGAGAGTAGATTGTAAGTGTTCTCACCACAGGGGAAATAAGGGTAACTATGTGAGGTGATGGGTATGTTAATTAGCTTGATTGGGGTAATCATTTCACAATGTATACATATTTCAAATCATTACTTTGTACATCTTAGATATATACAGTTTTTCTTATCAATCATACCTTAATAATCCTGGAGGGGAATAAAAATATTATTTGGATAATTGGAAAAACTTTAATGAGGTCTGTGGATTTGGTGCTACTAATTATCCATGTTAGTTTCCTGATTTTGATAATTTCATTGGTGTTATATAACATAATGTCTTTGTTAGTAAGGATTACACATTAAAGTGTTCAAGGGTGTTGAGGCATCATGGGAGCAACTTCCTTTCAAATGGTTCAGGAAAAAAATTTCTTTGAACTATTCTTGAAACCTTTATGAAGGTTTGAAAGCATTTTTTAAAAGCAGCTGAATTATTGTAATTTTATTATGATTTCCATTTTGTTAGGTTTTTAAATCGTGTATTTGTTTTCTGGTAAAGACATCAGTCTGTCTTTAAACTGAATTGAGAAATAGAAGCAAAATAGATGAAATGGTAGTAAAATTCACTGTGCCAGAATAAATTAGACAACCGAATGCTGATAAAAACATATATTTGCAGTCACTCTCTGAAATCTCTGAAAATTTACAGAGAATTGGAGAGATGCTGGAAAATTATAGGTGGGGAAGTCTCCTTCCCCTCATTACACCCCCTGTACAAATTTGACAACTACAAACCTATAAGGTTGATACTTATCTCAAAGCAATGTTTTGGAACAGGTTTTTAAGGATCCTGCCTGAGGCATTTAGAAATGACTATGGTGCCACTTGAACTAACCAAATATAATTCATGCTTCCCTTTCCTCTCTTCTTCTCTAGACAGGTGGTTTTAGGTTGACAGATCATGGTACTGTTACAGTTTTTATATTCATTAAGGACATGAATTATGTCTTATCATGTACTATCAGAGATTAATACTCTTCAGAGATATGGGGGTGCTCCACAAAAATTATTAAGGGGAGGAGACAGAGAAAAAGGAAGTAAGGGAGGACAGAACGAAGGAGGCAGAGAAAGAAAGAAGGAAGGGAGGAAGTTAAAAAAGAAGGGAGGGAGGGAGGCAGCAAGGAAGGATAAAAGGAAGGAAGGATTGAAGGAAAGAAGAAAGGAGGCCAGGAAGGAAGGAAGAAAAAAGGAAGTAGGCAAGTAACAAAAGAAGGAAGGAAGAGAGAGGGTGAGAAGAAAGAAAAAAGGAGAAAGGGAAGGAAGGAAAGAAGGAAGCAAGGAAGTAAAGGAAAAAGGCAGGGAGGAAGCAAGGAAGGAAAGAAGGAAGGAATGAAAAAAGAAATGAAGGAAGGAGGCAGGCAGGCAGGTAGGCATGGGATATGTGGATTTTTTTTTTAGGTATTTGGTAGTCTCTTCAGGTGAATCAATAAATGACCATGCAGTCATACTTAAAACCCTTCATTCAGGAAGTAACACCATCCTGTTCAAAAGTTAGCATTTATGTCATCCATTTTCTTCAAGGTCCTTTTGTTAATCCAATTCTCCTGTAAGCTACCATGTCTTCTCTATCAAATATGTTCAAATCATAGTCTACCACCCACTTCTACTTACCCTTCCACTGGTACTCTTTAGTATATGGGACTCTGCCATGAGCTTCATTCCTCTACAAAAATTGCTCTCTCATTGAACACCATATAACACTCTAATTTCCGAATGCAAAAGCATTGTTTGAACCCAATCCCATTTTACAAAATGATAAAACACCCTTCCAAGATCATTTCTAACAAAACTGCTATGATTTTTAGCTCTTTCCATTGTATATATGCTCATATTTAAGGTAGATTCTTTATAGCATGGAGAAGCTATTATTAATAGTGTTTGTGTCAATTTTTAAACTCAGAGCAATTTAGCTTTTGAAAGAGATTTTAAAATACATTCTGCATGTGGCATGTGATTTAAAAGACTCTCAAAAGGGGAATAATAAGAAGCGATGAGATAAAGATATATGAAATAATGAAAATGATATAAAAAAACTAATAGTGTGATCCGATTAACCTTGTCCTGTAATACAAGACTATGACAGCATTTAGATCAAAGGAAAATGATCTTTACATAATGTAAAATTAATCTATGGAACTCTGAAACAAGAGATATTATTGAGGTAAATTGTTCAGCAAGTTTAAAGTGGGAGTGAATCACCTTTTAGATAACAATAAATTGCTAAGTCCATTCCAGAGCCTGAGATTTTTAAAATAGTCTCAGTTCCCATGACAGAAGGCAGAGATAATCACCATCAAAAGGCACTGTAATCTACTACAGCTAGAGCTCTCAGCATACAAAATAAAAATTCTTTGTTCAGATACAGCCCAACTGGGTGTACATATGTCTGTGAATATGCATGTACAGTAAAGGAAAAACACAACAGGACCCTGTTGAGAAGAAACAAAAAATTAAACAAAAGTAAACCTGAAATGACTAAAATGATATTATCTAATATTTTATTGAAGGAAAGATGCCTGCTCATTTGAATGACATCCTTTCTATAAAACTGTGTTGAATAAAATATCAGTATAATGCAGTTCTAACTCTTTTTTAATGATCAATTACATAATACTTACTATCACTAGAGTTATTTGGTAGGAAATATCTTATTAATTAGATTACCAGCTTGGAAAAGTCTAGCGTCTAAGCACCCAGTTTAAGCTGTGTTTTTAATTACTTGTAAGACTTCAGGCACTGGATAAAATGGAAATAATAATAACTTTGAGTCCAGATAGACTTGAGTTTGAATTGCCAGACTAGAATGTCTCCACCAGTTGTATAACTGTTAATATTTATTTAAATTATGACTTCTTTTTGTACCTATAAAAGGGGAAATTCACATGAATGTAATAGAGACTAAACACTTAAGTTTACATTGTGGCATGCAATAAATATAATTTCTTCTTTCTTCATTAACTAGACAAGAGTTTTAGTTTCCACATCTATAAAATGAAGATAATAATTATTGGCCAACTAAGATTGCATATGTGGGAACATTTCACAAAGTCAAAATTAATCACAAAAATCAAGCATAGTACTATGCTGTCTTTATTACTCATTATTGACCCTTGCACAGAGATGTTAATGGTAGATGAATAGATAAGAACCTAAAGACTAAATAAGGCATTTGTAATTTTCTTTCTTACCGATCTGTTTATAAATCTCTTATTTATGAGGACTATAGCTGTATGATGAACAAAATGTTGAATCTCTGCATTATCATTTACTAGTCATATGACATTATAGCAGGTCACTTGAAGGACACTTTTGTCTTAGGCAACATGCCAGGTGTGTTATAAATATTTCATTTAAATCTCATAACAATTCAAATATGCATTATTGCTTCTTTAGCCTCATTCTTCCTGGGTAATTGTATGGATCAGAGCTAATGTACATAAATCACTGAACACAATACATGATAAGCATTCTATTAACAAACACTGTGATTATTATTACTATTATGGCACCATGGAGAAAAGTGATTCATTACTTTTAGAGATGGGAAAGCTACAGCCCAAAGAGGTTAAACATTTGTATGTAGGGACAAGACCAGTTAGGCTCATATCCTGTCTAGTGGCCCTTTTAGAATCAGATCATATATATTATTTAGTTGTTTGGAAACGATCCCCAAAGACTAGCAAACCTGATTCTACCTGAAGATTCATCAATACCTGTTAAAACTTTTTAAAAATTATCTACAACCATGAGACCTCAGGAAAAAAAAAGTCAAGTTCTAGAGTGGACTCCGGGACTGGATTCTTCTTTAGCATTTCTCGTTTAAAAATGATGTGCCCAGAGAAAGCTCTGGAATGGAAGCAAGAAATAGCCTTACTGTGCTCCACGTTGTGTTGCCAATTTATCAGCACCACCGTTACTCCAGGGCATTTCCCAGAATCCCTTTCCTGTATGGTTTTATGTCAAAGTTTGCCAGTGAGAGGAACTAACAGGAGGTTTGGAAAGCAGAAATGGAGCAGAAGGCATTAATCTTAGGAGGTCATGAGGGTCAGTCTGATTGCCTTCCCTAGACTTGGCCGTGGTCTGGACCTCCCCAGAAGCTCCCCCATTTTGCAGTCACAGCAGCCTAGCAGGACTTGCCATGGGCTCCCTCTTTGGAGTAGACCCAAGTTGTTTCTCAAGCTTACTTGAAAGTTCCCCTGATGCCACCTATGCCAATACTTTGGGGTGAAGTGGTTAGTGACAATTTCTTCACTTTTCTAGTTATAGCCTTCATGCCCAGCTTCTCCCACATTTGCATATGTGTTTATGCCAATATTAAAGTTTGATTTATACGACATTTGCAGTGGCTCTGTTTTCCTGACCAAACCAGACTGCTTCAGGCTATCCTTTAGGAGTGCATTTTTAATTAAGCCACTTTAGCTTCTCTTTCTCTCCTCATCATTCCTATAGTGATATGTCACTCTGTTCTTTCCAAGTATGAAGGGACTTCTGTTCCTTTCATAAGTAAATTATATATTACTTCATACATCATTATTCAGAGTCAGCTATAAGTAAGAGACTTTAATTCATTCATTTAATAAATATCTACTAAGCTGCTACTCTTTACCAAGGAGTGGGAAAAACTACAATGAAATATGGCCCTACTCCCATGGAACTTAAAGTTTAGCAGAAAAAAAATTGATATGAATTAAATATTTAGGCAAGAAAATGTAAAACTTCCAATCTGACAAATGCTAGGAAGAAATTCGCTGTGCTCTGTCAGTCTATAAAGGAAGTTTTCACTCACTTAGGGACTCCAGGGATTTTCCTAAGTGTGTGATGAAAATGGAAGGGTAAGAAGTCGTTAGCTAGACAATAGAGGAGGAAAGGGTATTTCTTGAGGAGAGTACAGTAAGAGCAATATACTTGGAAGGAGGGTCAAGAGGGAAAGAATGTTAACTGGGAAGAACTGAAAAAGCATGTGGCTAGAATGAGCACGCCCAATGCTATGAGGTAGGATGCAACCAGACTACGCAGGTCAGTGTAAGCCATGTTCGCTTTCTTTTTTTCTTCCTAAAAGCATTGAAAAGCCACTGACCATTTGTAGAGAGGATATTTGCGTATTTTAAAGACCCCTTTGACAAATAATAATGACTGGATTGGAGAAGGGCAGCATTAAGGCAGAGGGAACTTTAGAAAACTATCGCAATAGCAAAGGATACGGAAATAATCATTCCTTTTACAGCGGGAAGACTCAGAAATAATGAATAGCTAGAGTGATAGCTGCTCGTGAAGTTCAAATGAAGCAAAGATGATGAAATCAACAGGCATGCAGGAGGTGAAATACGCATGATATGATACTGTCTTGAGTAAGGGAGAGAGAGGAGCTAAAGATTCATCCCAGATTTCTGGATTGTACAACTGGATAGATAGTGGTGCCATTCACTAAATAAGGCATAGCAGTAGAGAACCAGGTTTGAAGGGCAATCATAGATTCATTGCGGATATTTCAAGTTTGAAGTACCTTTGAGATATCCAAGAAAAGTCAAATTGACAAGTGGATATCTGTGTAATGGGGCTGAAGAAATGCACACTCTGTAAATCAGAGGTACCCAATTTGTATTCCATTTTCTAAAATGTCTCATCAAGTGCTTAGTCTCAATTCCATTTGGCCAGATGACAGATTATTTGGATGTCTTGATCATCTGATGATATGTAAGGTAAAAGGGGAAGTCACTTATGATGGGATTCAACCTGATGGTCTCATGCAAAAAGCAATTATAATCCCGAATACTTTTTCTGAAAAGAATGGGACTACCAGCAAAATCTTAAACCTCAAAGATGTCAAAATGAATAAATAATAGGCAAGAGTCACCTCAGGAGACAGTAAATTATGTGGTTAGCAAATCTCTAGCAGCATGGGATCATGGGATTTCACCTGGTTCCCAGATGAGGAAATAAGAAGACCTCCTTGGAGTCAGATCCTGAGGGTGGGGTAGGACAGGATGAGAACTTCATCAGGGGAGGAGGTGAGATGAGACTCTTATTCCTAGACTCTTATTCCTAGTCTCAGTTTCTAGGATTGCTTGTCTCAAAGGCTAGAAGAGACTAATATATAAGAAACTGCCAGGGCATGTTGACTATACTCACTGAAAATAAAGAAAACTTGGAAAGAAAGTAGTGAAAAGTTGTCTCAAAAAATTAGTTGATTTTAAAAGCTTCTGTAAATATTCATTTATTTTTGGATGAGATGTGAATTTTATTTATCTACACTGGTATATGTTGCTTAAGAAAGATATTTTTGAAGGACTGAAACAGACATGTATTTGTTCTCCAGAATATGAAAGTATGATCTCATCTAGGTAGGAATTATGTCATGGGACATGTAGTCGAAATTCTGAATTCTTTTCATACAAGACCTTTACAATGGGACTTACTTGATATTTAAACTTTAAAGGAGGGTCAATGAAGAGCAGTGATAACAATGAATTCTCCATCTTCCATGGAAAATTCTCCATCCATTTTTCCACCATCTAATCCCCTCTTTACCTCCATGACAAAACAGTAAATACACACATGCCACCACCACTCTCTGAGGATGATACTGAGTCAAGCTTTAGTTCAATTGGTCATTATCAGTAAAGGGTATTATTTGGCTCTGTCCATACACTTATTATAATGGACACTTAAAATGAATAAATATTTTGACTCAATGCATCTTCACTGTATCTTTAAAAATTGAATTAAAAACTTTAATATATCATATGTTTGTTTCTCAGAGTATTCCCAATCTGACTGGAGCCAGAGGGAATGACACGAGACTGAATTTAGATGTGCTATTGTTTATTTATTCATTCACTCTGTTTTTGCTGATAGTCTATTATGTTCCTGGTGTGGAATAAGAAATTTGGAGAAGAAAGGGAAGATGGGGAGGGGAATACAGAGTTTCCTATTTATTCTAATCACAAGTTCAAAAGGAAAAAGAAGACAAACAGGATATATTTTTAACAAGTGTTTCAGAGCCTCTAACTTACATGCTAAAGTAAAAATGAGTTTAAGAGGAATACAGTAATTTAAGCTCTCCCTTGAAACATCAAGTTCTCGGAAATGGCCACCTTAAGTGAAAGGATGCACATATGTAAGGAAATCATTTTTGTTTTTCTCATCAGCCTTATAAGGAAATTACATTATTCAATGTTTGACTTAAAATCACAGTTTCCAAGAACTTATTGACAATGTTAAGTGTCAATAGGTCTTACTGTAGAGACAAAAAACTATAGGAGTTCATTAGAGGGTTAAATCATGCTAGTTGTGGAGTGTGGATATAGGCTTCCTGAAGGGACATTGAAGAGTAAGTAGGCAGTAACAGAGGCACCACAAACAATGTAAGAAGACAAGGAAAGGCAGTGAGGTAGAACAAAGACGATGTGTAGAGAAAGCCCTCTGAAATGAAGTTAAAAAACTCTCACCTAATCCAACAAATACTTAAGTCACTTCAAGTTTAATCAGTAAGAGAGAAGTTGTTGTTCCTGCCTTTTGTTCACTTACCCCCAAACCTGGTTATTTGGAGCACACATTAACAGTTGGACTATTTTCTTCCTTTCTTTTCTTTCTTTTTTTTTTAAAGAGATGGAGTCTCGCTCTGTCACCCAGGTTGGAGTGTAGTGGCGTGATCTTGGCTCACTGCAAACTCTTCCTCAACCCTCTGCTATTTCTCACTCTTACTTCTAGGTCTTTGCATATGATACTTATCCCCTTTGCAAAGCAATATTCTATTAGTTTACCCCCCTCTTGAACACAACTCTGGGGAACCAGCCCTAACTCTAAACTAGATTAAGTTTGTCTCTTTTGTCCTGTCGTTCCCCAGTCATGAAACACCCTATACTCTATTCTAATTGCTCATCAACTTCTTGGTGTTCTCCACTAGGTTATGGATGGTTTAAGAGCAAGGACTCTGTAGTAGGCTGAATAATTACCTTTACCCATCTGTGTCCTCATCCTTGGAACCTATGAATATGTTAGCTTACATATTAAAAGGAACTTGAAGGTGAGATTACGTTAAGGATCTTCAGATTGGAAGATGATCCTGGAATCTTGTAAGCCCAACATAACTAAAAGAGTGATTATAAGAGGGGGCCAAGATGATCAGAGTTAAAGAGAAAAGATGTAATGATGAAAGCAGAGGTCATAGAGGAGAGAAGATGCTAAGCTCCTAGTTTTGTAAATGGAGGAAAAGGCCATGAGTCAAAGAATGCAGGCAACCTCTAGAAGCTGGAAAAGGCAAACAGACTCTCCCCTAGGGCCTCCAGAAGGAACACAGCTCTGGCAACACCTTGATTTTAGCTCAGGGAAACTTATTTTGGACTTCTGACCTCCAGAACTATCAAACAATAATTTTTTATTGCTTTAACCCATCAAGTTTATGGTAATTTGTTATTGCAGCAGTAGAAGACAAATACAGATTCTATTTTATGCTTCCCCCCACCGCCCCATCCCGCCGCTGCTGACACCTAACCCAAAGACTCATACAAAATTATATTCACATTTTAAAATTATTAGATTAATGAAAACATGCTTTCCTGCAACTTAGAGACTGAAAGCCTTTACGAGAGTGATGCAGGTGTGGGAAATTGTAAGGGATCCTGAAGGATCCTATGATAAAACCCAGGATGAACTGGTGCAGGGAGAATGACCTTTTTTCTTGTGAAACATAAAAAGAAGGAAGAGTTGCCAATGACTGGAAACAGGCTGCCACAAAAATCTAGAATGTGTCCAGAAAAAAATTTAAAAAATGAATTGAGAAAAACTACAAGCTAAGTCTTCTAGTTGCTCCTAGAGTTTTCAGAAGGAGAGTTTTGACTTAAAAAAACTATCCAGATGTGGCAGCGTGTGCCTGTAGCCCCAGCTACTTAGGAGGCTGAGGCAAGAGAATCGCTTGATCCCGGGAGGAGGAGGTTGCAGTGGGTCAAGATTGCACCCCTGCACTTCAACCAGTGTGACAGAGCGAGATTCCATCTCCCAAAAAAAAAAAAAGAAAGAAATAGTTCAACTGTGAATTTGTGCTCCAGAGAACCAGGTTTGGGGATAAGTGAACAAAAAGCAGGAACAACATCTTATCTCTTACTCATTAAACTTGAAGTGACTTAAGTATTTATCGGTTTAGGTGAGAGTTTTTTAACTTCATTTCAGAGGCTCAGGTTAATCCCTCTTTATTTCTTGCTGTACCATCATTGATAGTTTGCATAAGATTTCTTTCTTGTATTATTCTTTTTCATTTATCCCAAATCTCTATTCTAATATAGTTGATGTTTACCTATTTATTTGTAGGGTTCTTGTAAAAACATTTATTAATGTTTTCTCTGCATGCATTTTTTACATAGTATTATGCTATAAATCTTAGTTTGTGTCTTACTTTTAAAGTACAGTACAGCACAGCATTTTTAAGATATACCTGTGTTGCTATGCAAGCCTGTTCTGTTGCTTCTGAATGATGCGTAGTGCTTCTTGATGGAACCTACTCTATTGCACCTATTTATTTCTCCAGTGATAAATATCCAACTCACTCAGATTGCTTCCAAATCCTTGCAAACAATGCTACAATAAATAATCCCCATGCATTTTCCCTTACCAGTCCATATAAGAATGTGTTTGAATGTATACCCAGAAGATGACTTGCTGGATCATAAGGCACAAGGTATACATAATTGCACCAAATACTGCTAAACTTCTACCCTGAAAACCTATTAGCACCAGCTCTCACTTCCATCAGCTATCTATCCGGGTGGCTATAGCTCCACAGGAGAGAGGTGGCACCAAGGAGTAAATGACTCAGGTGTGCAATAGCAGAGGTAGCAACTGGGACTTCTCTCACTCAGACCTAATTATACCCCTAAAACTAAGGGTTTCCTGGCTAGATGAGAGCTCCATTCCTCCAAAGGGAATCTGTGACAAAAATAAATAAACACAAAGGAGCAAGTAAAAAACTATCTAACAAAAAAAAATGGTTTCACTTTTTTTTCCTCCCTGAATTTACAGTTTCTGCCTTTAATCTCTCCTTCCTCTGTCAGGGGCAAAAGAGGCTCAGGTGCCCAGGTGCAGGGTAGGAAGGAGGAGTGAAAGGAGAGAAACCCACGGAGAGTGCTGTGTCCACTCTGGTCTTCTCTACCTCTCAAATGATGCCTCTCTGAGCACCTCCTGGTCCCTTTGGCAGCCTGGGATGGTGTTTGGGTTTTGAAAGTATCCTCCACCAAGGCAGAGCTCAATCTGTAGGACCGAAAGCAACATGGAGTCCTTCTCGTGCTGTGATGTCTGTTTATTCCAGCACCATACTGGGAAGGCCAAAAAACTGCTTACTACTTCTAGGCCTCTTTGGAAGCCAGAGGCTGGGGCTACCCTTCCAGATGTGCCTTCGTGACAGCTACATCAGATGGCACTCATCTTGAAAGATTTCACAACTCAAAGCCAGGGAGTCCCGACGCAAAGTACCTGCCACAGTGAGATCCATGTGAAGGCCAGGAGCATTAGTCACCAACAGTTCACTCAAAATTGCCATCCTGAGCTTATAACCTACCTCTTCCCTTAATGTGACAACAAGAGGGTTGCAGAGTATGGAGAGAGAGCTATTAGGTCATTCACAGGGGAATTCCTGGACTGAATTCTGCTGTGAGTGTCTAAATCATGCAGAACTTGGAGAAAAATGGTGTTGCAGGCCAGGGAAGCATCTTGTGCTCTCCTGGCTCAGCGGAGGGTGTTGAAAGAAACTTGGGGAGGCCCTTCTGGCACAAACTCCATGCCACCCACCTCACCGTCTTCCCTATGTGAAGAGAGATGCAGGCAGAGGTGCAGATCCTGCTGGGAAAAAGTCCCCAAGTAGGCAAGTGGGCCAAACCAGATGGTATCTTCTCTAGAAAGCTCTACCTCACCTCTCCTGTCCTCTGTGATACCTGTGATGATGATGATGATAAAAATGATAACAGCTAGCATTTGTATCCTTCACCACAGCATTATCCAACCTTCAACATAATTAAATAAGACCCCCTCGCTGCCAAATTTGTCACTTTTCTAACCTACTGCTAGTAACAGAGCCAGGATTTGAACCCACAACTCTTTGACCTTGGAAATTGCTCTCTTAACAAGAATTAGACTACCCTCTCTCCTATATACTCTTATAGTGTTATTCTTCACTCTGAATTATTTTTATTTATTCATGTTACTCTGAGAGCAGGGATGATGTTTTACTCATTTTTGCATCCCTCCCAAGTCCGACAGTGCCAAACACAAAATTATATCAGATTATAGATGACTTACAATATTCCAGTAACTATTTCAAGAAAATCACATGGATTAAATCATTCAGTTCTCTCAATGATGCTATAATGTAGGCACTAAAATTTGCCCCATTTTGTGGATAAGAAAATTGGGACACACCAAAGTTAATCAACTGGTCCAGTCAGTTAAATAACTAATAAGTGGTGGCCCTGGGCACTCTGGGTTCAGAGTTTTTCCTTTTAAACCATATATTACTCTGCAGAGGCAAGCAAGTTATTTCACCAAAGTTTAGATTATTTGATAAGTATTAAAGAAGGGGTTTTTTTAAATGAAAAATCCTGATTTCTACACTTGTCAAATGATTACCCTCCCTCTAGATCAACCCTCCTTCAGTACATCATAACTCATCACAAACTTAGTTTTCTGAAATGAAAATGTCATGATATTTTCCTTTTATAAAATCCTTGAATGGTTCCTCACTGCATTTTGTCTAAAAATCCATACTTCTTTTTTTTTTTTTTTTTTTTTTTTTGAGATGGAGTCTCGCTCTGTTGTCCAGGCTGGAGTACAGTGGCGTGATCTCGGCTCACTGCAACCCTCCACCTCCCAGGTTCACTCCATTCTCCTGCCTCAGCCTCCTGAGCAGCTGGGACTACAGGCACCCACCACCATGCTTGGCTAATTTCTTGTTGTATTTTTAGTAGAGACGGGGTTTCACTGTGTTAGCCAGCATGGTCTTGATCTCCTGATCTCGTGATCCGCCCACCTCAGCCTCCCAAAGTGCTGGAATTAGAGGCATCAGCCACTGCGCCCGGCCAAATCCATACTTATTAGCTTTTCATGCAAAGTCGTTTGTCTAATGATCTGCACCTTTTCTACTTTACGAGGACTTCAATTTGGTGCTACTCTGCTACTGAGTCTGCCTCTCCAGCAGTTACCAAACTGCTTGTAGTTCCCCAGGTCAAACTACTTTCTATACCTCTACTCTTTCTCACAAGTGTACTTTATGCCTAGACACAACCCTAGTCCTCTCAGCTCCTGCCCAGAATCAGTCCCAATATTTCTATTCCAGGAAGACTTACTTGACCATGCCCCAAGGCCTCAGGTTCAGCTTATTTGTTCTCCTTGCATATTGAGTGAGTCTATCACCCACACATCGCATGACTAATTCACCTCCATGTTCTCAAAAGCTAGCACAGCATTGTGTGGCACATAGCAAGGGCTTAGTACAAGTGTAGGTGGAGGATCCCACTTCACAAATGGTGTGGAAACAATGGCTGCTAACTGTGGCTTCAACTCATGCCCCTGCATACCCAGAGAAGCAAAAAATCTCATCTCTCCCAAGGCAGCATTCCTCTCCCTTTAGTGTCCCAGATTATCCCATCTTAAAAAGACCAGTTAAGTTTTCTTTTGCCTGCCTTACAGAGCCACAGCTCAGCGGTACCTCCTTGTGACTAGCACATCCCAAAACTATAGAAAATTGTTTGGGAAAGAGCCATCAGCCTATCGCTCTGAGCGGCCTGTCTCATCTGAAGCAATGAAATTGAGGCCATATCTCCCACCTTAGACCCTGCTACTTATTCGCCTCTCTGCCGAGAATGCAGATGTTCTTCAAAGTATGAAAAAAAAATTTCTTCCCTTGTGATACTCAGGCAAGTCTGATCCACACCAAAACTGGCCCAGTTTCTAGTATCCCGACTCTTGAACAGTCTTCTCTATCCATGTCTAAGAGCACAAATTTGCCATTAAAAAGTGAAGAAAGAGGCCCGGTACAGTGGCTCATGCCTGTAATCCCAGCATTTTGGGAGACTAAGGCAGGCAGACCACTTGAGGTCAGGAGTTAGAGACCAGCCTGGCCAACATGGTGAAACCTGCCTCTACTAAAAAAACAAAAAATTAGCTGAGTGTGGTGTTGTTCGCCTGTAATCCCAGCTACTTGGGAGGCTCAGGCAGGAGAATTGCTTGAATCTGAAAGGCGGATGTTGCCGTGAGCCAATCGCGCCACTGCACTCCAGGCTGGGTGACAGAGGAAGACATCTGTCTAAAAAAAAAAAAAAAAAAAAAAACACGAACAACAACAACAAAATAGACAGCTTTACACGGATCACTCCTCAGAAGCTGAACAGCTTAACACAGTTGTCTTCCATTAGTCAACTTCAAATGCCTGACTCAAGTATTAATGCTATGCTAGATTTGGGAGACCTGGAACATAGAATCATAAAAGTGTGTGTATGGTAAGAACATTTAAGATCTATTCCCTTGGCCAGGAATGGTGCTCATGCCTGTAATCCCAGCACTTTGGGAGGCTGAAGTGTGTGGATCACTTGAGGTCAGGAGTTCAAGACCAGCCTGCCCAACATGGTGAAACCTCATCTCTACTAAAAATACAGAACAAATCAGCTGGGTGTGTTGGCACATGCTTGTAATCCTAGCTACTTGGGAGGCTGAGGTGGGAAGATTGTTAGATCCTGGGAGGCGGAGGTTGCAGTGAGTGGAGATTGCACCACTGCACTCCAGCCTGGGTGACAGAGTGAGTAAGACTCTGCTTTAAAAAACAAAAAAGGCAAGCCAAGATAGGGAAGACCAGGAGTATGATTTTGTCAAAGACATGGACTTACTCTTCCCACTTCTCTTTGAATAGATTCAGTGCAGGAGCCACTTTACTTGCCCACATTCATTCATCTTGTGTCATGATTTTATAGTAGAAGACTTGGGGCCAATTCCTGTCCCAGATATTTGGTCAGTATTATCTTGGTCCACCCCAAGAGATTCCAGTAACTTCTCTTCTTAAAGATTTAAGATCTCCATTCTTTCTCTTAAATCCTTATGCAGATGGGTTCATGTATCTTAAATAACCTTCACCACATAGCAATAGTTTTTCTGCCTCACACACAAATATATTTTTTTTAAGAAAGGGAAAAATCCAACAGATCCAAGCAGTGAACCCTACAGAAAAAGGGAGTCAGATGGACAGAAAGAACACCAATAAAAACCTCTCCAGCCACTCACGTACCCACTGCACATCCAAGAAAGGCTTCTTTGCCCCATTCTATGGTTTGAATGTTCCTTACAACACTCATACTGCAACTTAATCCCCAATGTGGCAGGATTGACAGGTGGAACCTTTAAGAGGTAATTGGATCATGAGGACTTTGCCCTCAGGAATTTATTAATCCATTCATGGATTGATGGATTTATGCATAATCGTGAGAGGAGAACTGGTGGCCATATGGGAAGAGGAAGAGACCTGAGCTAGCACATTAGCAGGGTCAACCTCCGTCACCATAAGATACCCAGTGCCACTTTAGGACTCTGCAGAGAGTCCTCACCAGCAAGCAGGCTCTCACCAAATGCAGCCCCTAAACCAGAGACTTCTCAGACTCAAAAACTGTACGAAATAAATTCCCTTCTTAAAATAAATTACCTAGTTTCAGATATTCTGTCATAAGCAACAGAAAATGGACTAAGACACCATAACCAAATCTCTCCAGGAGAATAAGAGTTGATCCAGGCTTCCATCCTCTGAGTCTAGCCAGCCTTAACAGTATTGAGCCAAAGGTGTTCTCTCTGAGTTCTCATAGCCCATTTATTGTTTCATTTTAGTGACTCATTGACATTTCTATTTCTTATTAATCAGCTTTAACATATTTTACAAATTGTCCTGGTAGCACAATTGCCAATCCTCTGGATTTATAGAACTCATCTCACTTCCTAAATATCATATTTGGCAGAACATGTGTCATTTTCTATAAATATTGAATAATCAATAATTGCTGCCAGAAATCCTGTATTTGTTCAAATCCCAGGCAAGATAAATGATGAAAAGAAATACCTTTCTCTTTTAAAATTCAGAACTAAGGCAGATCTGATTGTTTTTTCTTTTGATGTTTCTACAATGTGCCTTGCTTCAATAATCACAGACCCAGGCTTCCTCCTTTATTCTTCCTTCTGCTACATTTTTATTATTTTACATCTATCTCTAAGTGAACATTTGGATTTAGCACACCATCCTCATCATGCAGAGGTGAGAGACACAAGCCTATATAGAATTGAGTTGGGAAAAAGAGTGGAGTCAAGTGATATAGTTCTCCTACAGTGATGCCTTCACAAAGTTTTAACATGATACATAGTGTGACAATTTTCAATCTGGTAGTCTCTAATTTTTTAACATGGACTAACAAGAGTACAAAATTTTGAGCTTCTCTCTCTCTTCTGTGTGTCTGTGTGTGTGTGTTTGTGTGTATTTTATACACACACACACGTTACATGCATTCACTAAATACCCTCACCATACACAGTAAATATTATACAAGTTTATTCTCAAAATACTTTAGAAAGAAAATTAGATATAATACAAGCCAAAATATATTTTTTTGTTTTCCCAATTGCTTTTCTTGCATACCACTTGCTGAACAACACACTTTGAGGACTATTAGTTTAAATCTTCTTTTGTAAAAAGCAAGAAACTTTTTCTATAAATGGCCAGATCATAAGCATTTTAGATTTGCGGGTTATATAGTCTTTATCATATTTAATCAACTCTCCCATTGTAACATGAAAGCATAGACAGTATATAAATGAGCAAGTCTGATTGTGTTCCAATAAAACTTTACATACAAAAAACAGGAAGCAGGCCAGATATGACTGCTGGCTGGCCACAATTTGCAGATCCCTGGTTTAGAAGATGATGAAAAGATGCTCAAAGAAGTAGTACAAAGGCAATCCCTTGAGAGCTGTAGAAAAACTAGTTAAAGCTGCCATTTTTTCCTGTTTATTCTCCTCAAAACGAACCTTAAAATGCCCTTTTCTTTCCCAAACCCTAAACCTGTTGCCCCTAATTTAGAATTTGCATCTGAAAAAGAGAGAATGAGACCAATGCACCTCCATACAAACAGCAGAAAAAGGATCCTAACATCGTTTAAGTGCCTGAATTCAGCTATCTCTACAATCAATAAAATTATAGATGTGCTTTCTAAAGCCCCTACATTCCCTCTCAGTTTTCCTTAGTTTTGTTTAAATTTTTGTCACTTGTAGCCAATGATGAATGATATATCTCATTAATAATGCATTTTTTATTTAATCCTAAGACAACTCTATGAGAGAAATTCTTTTTCATTTTAGTGTGCAGAGAAGCAAGTTGACAAAGTGCATACTTCTTGGAGGCAGTAGGGCCAGGTTGTGGGTTCTGATGGGACTGACCCCAGATATGCAATAAGTTCAGCTGGCCCTGTGATACTTGACAGTTTCTCCTGCAAACCCATAAATCTGGGTACAGCCCTCACAAAAGAATAAATACACAGAATCAGTTCCAGAAGCTACCACTTGTGTCACTGAGTTAAATTCCTATTTAACTAAGAGGAAATGGGTATCGACCACAGTTGGCTTGATTGCAAATGTCAGGCTCTTTGAATTATTAGGAACAGCAATGAAAAATTGATTATATTTAAAACATCCTGTGAAAAGTTTTACAATTGCACATTAAGAAACGGTGTTAAGTAAATAAGAACTAATTGTTCTCAGATGCAGTGGTAATAGCCCTGTCTACCTTCCTAGTACAATGCATATTCATTTCATTTGAACAGGAAAAGTAAATAAAAAGTCCCAGGTCTCATTCACATTCAATCACTGTAATTCTAAGCCTAAGGTTATCCTCCCAAGGGAGGAAACCAAGGCAGCAATGAATGCGTTACCCATTAGTTCAAACTGTCCAGAAATCTCTACCAGACTATTACTATGCCTAGATCAAAAAAAAAAAAAAAAAAAATCACAGGGAAAGTATACCACACACCATGCAATAGATGTGCATCCAAAAGTCTGAGTATGAATTTGAAGGGGGAATTGAACTATTGTAAGGTCCTTACCCTATTTTAAGGGTTGGAAGACAAACCAAAGAATGTCAAACTAAATATACTCTCTGCCTTTACCTGCCTTAACATCAATTGGCACCAATTTGACTCAGAGTACTGTTCAGAACAAAAGCTAACCTAATCCTATCAGCTTCCCCACCTCATATTTCATAAGGAGTCAGAATAGAGTGTGCTGGTCAGTTCCCCACATCTACTCTCCTCTTCGTACTGTGATTCCTCTCCTCTTGTGTCAGTCAAAATAGGCTAGATTATGCTGCAGTGATGAACCATGACAAATGTTCAGTAACTTAGAATCACAAAGATTTCTTTTTCATTCAGGCAAAATGTCCATCATGGGGTCTACATATAGGATGAGTAACTTTGCCTTGAACTTTCCCAGTTTTTGCATGGTAAGTCTCAGCAACCTAGGTCAGTTGTTCATGTTATCCATCAGAGCGCTGAGTCCCACACTGTACCACATCACTGGGCAGCATATGTTTAGTTGGACCTTTACTTTAAGTTAACCCAATCTACATGGGTATGATTCCCATAGTCTTATTTGATTCTTGCCCCAATACAGTTTTAATTGTTCATTTCTGTTCCCATTTTCTCAATCATGTGTTTATCTATTTGTAGATGGGAAGTAGTATACTATTCCAACCTTGAAGTACTTTTTATTTTGTAATTTTATTTCCTTTCATTCCTTTCAGGCCTGCCTTTTTCTCTTAAATATAACCATCTGCATCCAACACAAAATACCAATACTTGGTTTTCTGATTTTTTACCTTAGACCTACATACTCCTCAGTACATGGTCTGCCTCCCAAGCCACCTCACGTGACAATTCTATTGAATACTTTGGCACAGAATAACATGGATTGTTACTTTTCCAGCCTTTGAGGCAGTTTCTTACTACTTGCCACACAGTCTCTAAGCAAATGCCACATATTTTATATCTTTTTTATGGCAGTACCATTTCAAAGCACTAATTTCTATATCATTCAGGACAAGCTAAGTTATGCTGAGGTAACAAGTAAGCCCAAAACTTCTGTGGCCTAAAGAAAAATAAAGGTTTCGTGTCTGCTCCCATTTCATGCCTATCATAGGTCAGCAGGGGGCCCTGGTCTAGGACCTCAGGTTGATGTTCATTATTTAAAATGTTACCAGTTACCAAAATAAAAGAAAAATAAGTAGGGCAAATTCTGTATTAACTAATTTTTTTTTTGAGACAGAGTTTCACTCTGTCATCCAGGCTAGAGTGCAGTAGCATGATCTTGGCTCACTGCACACTCCACCACATGGGCTCACAGGATCCTACCACCTCAGCCTGCTAAGTAGCTGGAGCTACAGGTGCACACAACCATGCCTGGCTATTGTTTTGTGTTATTAGTAGAGATGGGGTTTCCCCATGTTTCTCAGATTGTTCTTTAACTCCTGGACTCAAGCGATTTATCTGCCTCCCAAAATGCTAGTACAGTGGCTACAGGCATGAGTCACGGCACCTGGCCTCCCAGCTACAGGCATCAGCCATTGCACCATTGCACCTGGCCACTGAATTAATGTATAAAGCACCCATCTAGAACTGACACATATCATCACTTCTGCTTACTTTCATATTGGTCAGAGAAAGCCACATGGCCCCCTTAAATCCCAGAAACATGAAGGTACAGTCATGTCATGTGTCCTGGAGGAGAGGGAGCTGGAATGTTTGTGGGCAGTCCTAATGACTACCAGCTCCATTCCACCCCAAGCTCAATTTCCATTCTGACATTCCTAATGCACCCTCTAAAACTCTTTTTCAATTTCTAAGAAACATATCTTACCCCAGAATATCCTCTCCACTCTCCACCTCCTGACTTAACTAATAGCTCTTTCTCTCTCCTAGATAATGTACCTCTGCAAACTTTCCCTTTCCATTCCTTTTTTCCTTCCCCCCCACCCCCTTTTTTTTTGAGATGGAGTTGCACTCTGTCACCCAGGCTGGAGTGCAATGGCACGATCTCAGTTCACTGCAGCCATTGCCTCCCAGCTTCATGTGATTCTCGTGCCTCAGCCTCCCAAGTAGCTGGGACTACCGGTGCCCACCACCACACTCAGCTAATTTTTGTATTTTAGTAGAAACAGGATTTCACTATGTTGGCCAGGCTGGTCTTGAAATCCTGGACTCAAGTGATCTGCCTGCCTTGGCCTCCCAAAGTGCTGGGATTCCAGGCTTCAGCCACCACGCCTGGCCCCTCCTTTCTTTTTAACACACACACTCACTTTCTTCTCTTCTCAGGGTCAGCAGGTAGAGTCAGAATATTTTTTGTTCCATGATATCTTACCTACAGACCATTACTCTTCCATTCTTGTGTTTAAAAAAAAGTATTAATTTGAGGTTCTTAAATGTTATGATATTCCTTCTATTTCTCTTTGTCACTGGTCTTCATTCCCAGCTTCTCTGTTCACTGACTTTCTTAACTCTAGTGACCTTCATTTATTTTCTAATTCAACCCAATGGCCGCACTCTAGTCCTTATATTTACCTGAAAACTGTGCTCTTTACCTTTGAAATCTTAAGCTTCTACTTTCTGGCATGAACCTCCTGTTCTTTCATTCCTGATTGAGACCACCGGTATTGTCACTCTCACTTCCTTTTCCATTCAGTTGTCAGAGTAATTCGAATGCAAAATTGACTATCTCTCTCTTCAATAGCTTACTTGCTGATATGGTTTGGCTGTGTCCCAACCTAAATCTCAAATTGAAGCTCCCCAAATTCCAATGTGTCCTAGGAGGGACCAGGTGGAAGGTAATTGAATCATGAGGGTGAGTCTTCCCCCATACTGTTCTCAAGGTAGTGAGTAAGTCTCCTGAGATCTGATGATTTTATAAGGGGTTTCCTCTTTCACTTGGTTCTCATTATCTCTTGTCTGCTGCCATGTAAGATATGCCTTTTGCCTTCCGCCATGATTGTGAGGCCTCCCAAGCTGTGTGGAACTGTGAGACCATTAAGTTTATTTTTCTTTATAAATTACCCAGTCTCAGGTATGTCTTTATCAGCAGCATGAAAATAGCCTAATACACTTGCCTGAAAGCCTTCAGAGGCTCTCTATAGCACAGTGGCTCTAAAACTTGGCTATGCATTAGAGTAACTTGAGGAGCTTTCAAAAAATTCTGGTGCCAGGCCACATCCCAGATCAATTAATGAGAATTTTTTTTGAGTGTCAAGCACCAGTATTTTTTAAAGCTTCTAAGTGATTCCAATAGGCAGTCAAGGATGAGACACATCCTTGTGTCCAACCATGAAAGGTAAGGTAATTCATAAATTGGTAGGGTTTGTTTTCCAAATGTCTTCTAACCATTTGTATCAGAGTAATCAATGTTGCTTATTTTCCTGAGCTTCACCCCAGGATATTGGATTATACTGTCTCTAAGTACATTCAAAAAATCTGATTTTAACTAACTCTCCAGGGTGATTCTACAGCACCCTGAAAGTTGACAATCACTTTCTGACTTGCACATTAACTTGGTTGCAAAGAAATATCACTTTTGATATGTCCTGATGAATATAAATTATGGTTAGATAAACTCATCAGAAAGAAGTGTGACCCATCAAGATTGTGGGAAAAATGAAGCAAACTAGTAGAGAGATACCATGAGAGATCATGAAGATCAAGATAAAAGAGATCAGCAGAGTCATTCCAGATTCTGGTGTCTCAAATACAGGATGTCCCTCCATGAACCCTCCCTTTTGTTAAAATAGCCAATGTGTCTATGTTAATGTTGCAACAACAAAATACCTAAGATTGGGTAATGTCTATAGAACACAAATTTATTTCTGACAGTCCTGGACGCTGAGAAGTCCTAGATCAAATTGCTAGCAGGTTCAGTGTCTAGTGAGGGCTACTTCATTGATGTCATCTTCCTGTGGCATCTCACATGGCTGAAGGTGGAGGTACTGGACTTAGTACCTGGGTGACAAAATAATCATTGGGGTACAACAAACCCCAGTGTCATGAGTTTACCTATAAAACAAACCTGCACATGTACCCCTGTACCTAAAATAAAAGTTTTAAAAAACCACAAAAATCAGTAGTATTTCTATATGCCAACAGGGAACAATCTGAAAAAGAAATCAAGAAAGTAATACCATTTATAATAGCTATAAACACAATACCTAAGAATTAACTTCACCAAAGAGGTGAAAGCTCTCTACAATGAAAACTGTAAAGCATTGTTGAAATAAATTGAAAAGCACACAAAACAATGGAAAGATATTCCATGTTCATGGATTGGAAGAATCACATTGTTAAAATGTCCATACTACCCAAAGCAATCTACAGACTCAATGCAATGTCTATCAAAATACCAATGACTTTCTTTACAGAAATAGAAAAAGAATCATAACATTTATGTGGAACAAAAAAAGAACTAGTATAGCCAAAGCTATCCTGAGCAAAAAGAACAAAACTGGAGGAATCACATTATCTAACTTCAAATTATGCTACAGAGCTATAGTAACCAAATCAGCATGGTTTTGGCATAAAAACAGACATACAGACCTGCAGAACAGGAGAGAGAAGCCAGAAACAAACCCATACATCTATAGTGAACTCATTTTTGACAAAGGTGCCAGAAACATACATTGGAGAAAGGACAGCCTCTTCAATAAATGGTCCTGGGGAAACTAGATATCCACAGAAGAATAAAGCTAGATCCCCTATCTCTTGCCATATAAAAAAAACAAATCAAAATGGATTAAAAACTTAAATCTAAGACCTCAACCTATGAGACTACTACAAGAAAACATTGGGCAAAATCTTCAGGACATTGGAGTGTACAAAGGTTTCTTGAGTAGTACCCCATAAACACAAGCAACCAAAGCAAAAATGGATGAATGGGATCATATCAAGTTAAAAGCCTTCTGCACAGCAAAGGCTTTCTTTTGGATATACCCAAAAGAAAGGAAATCAGTATGTCAAAGAGATATCTGCACTCCCACATTTATTGCAGGACCATTCACAACAGCCAAGATTTGGAAGCAACTTAAATGTCCATCAACAGATGAATAGACACAGAAAATGTGGTCACATACACAATGGAGTACTACTCAGCCATAAAAAAGAGAATGAGATCCTGTCATTTGCAATAACATTGATGGAACTGGAGGTTATTCTGTTGAGTGAAATCAGCCAGGCACAGAAAGACAAACTTTGCATGTTCTCACTTATTTGTGGTAGCTAAAAATTAAAACAATTGAACTCATGGAAATAGAGAATAAAATGATGGTTACCAGAGGCTCGAAAGGGCAGTGGGGAGATAGGCAGGAAGTGGAGATGGTTAATGGGTAAAAAACAAAATAGAAAAAAATGAATAATATCAGTATTTGAAAGCCTGAAAGGGTGACTATAGTAAAAAAAAAAAAATAATTTAATTGTACATTTTAATATAACTAAAAGTATATTTGGATTGTTTATAACACAAAACACAAATGCTTGAGGTAATGAATACTTCATTTACCCTGATATGGCTATTATGCATTGTATGCCTGTAGCTAGTCATGTACCCCATAAATATATACCCACAAAATTTAAGAATATGTTTAAGAGATGAACTCTGTGTCCTCACATGGCAGAAGAGCGTAAGAGAGCAAACCAGTCCCATAAGTTCTTTTTATAAAGGCCTTAATGTGTTCATGAGGGTAGAACCCTCATAATTTAGTCAACTCTCACAAAAGCCCACCTCTGAACACCACAATAATGGGGATTAAGTTTCAACCTGAACTTTGGAGGGGACACCATCACTCAAACCATAGCTGTAAATCTATTCCTTGAGTCCAGATCACAAATTACCAAATGAACACGTTCTCCATTTTTAGTACTTTTTTACCTGTAACCCTCTGTCTACCTAAGATGAATATTTATTCATTGAATGAATCATTTAATTTTGGTGCCCCAAAATTCTCAGTGAAACAATTTCTGGATACCTCTCCATCACTAAGATAATCACTATAGCAGTGTCATATTCTTCAACTTAGCACAAATCTAAAGTCTCCATTTATCCCTACTAGAAGTGTTCTGTTGTCTTTTCACTCTCAAAATATCCTCCATGCGCCAACCAAATACTAAAGGGCACCACATATCTTGCTCAATGAAGCCAAATCACTTCTCACCCAGTGGTGCCTACAACCCAGTTAATAAAAGTCAGTTGTTAAATATTCAGAAATTTTGCAAACTTGTTTTCAAACAATTGTTAACTTGAAATCAGCCACTGTAGGAGTATTTATACCATTGAAGTTGGTAAATGCCACAAATCAAAGTCTTTTGGGGGGCTGGAGAGGATAAAACCAGTTTATCAGTAAAAACACTGCCACCACATAAATTCTTATTTATGTAGTCATTTAGAGCTTACTTAATCATTTAGGTTTCATAATGTTATTAGGAATTCAAATGTAATAATGAAGTCTTTCAAGTTCATTATTACATTTGAATTCCTAATAACATTATGAAGAAAGCATTGTTTTTACCATTTTACGTAATGAAAACTAAGCTTAAAGTGTAAACCTGGACTATAGTAACTGAGATTCTTTAAAAAGATGTGACTTCTAGTCCATGCCTTTTTCCAAAGCAGTATCTTATTTAATAAGGTTAATAAATTCTAAATCTAAGGCAAAAAGTATAAATTATTTGCCTGAATCATTTATTCCTGTCTTTTATTCATCAGCAAATACTTATTAAGTGACTAGTGTTTGAGAATCCATGCCAGGCACTGGGATTACAAAGATAAATAAGACAGTTTCTGTCCTCAAGGACCTCCCTGTCTATTGAAAAAGACAGACATCCTAACAGAAAAATCACAATACAGAGTGATATAAAGAGCCCTGGGCCCCAGGTCCACATATATTCATTGTGGCTGGGAAAGAAGTCATATGTCAGCCAATGAATCATGATCCCGACAGTAATAAAGTTTATTTCATTTTAGGACAATCAGGAGTGAAACTTTTAAAACCTCACAGCCTCATTCATCTCCATATATGTAGCTGATGATATGACAATTCTGCAAAACATATTCTTACCTATATAAAGTGCCCAAAGATCACAGACAGGAAAAGAACACCCAATTCCCCCTCTCAGATATATATCCAAGCAATGCAAACATATTGTCATCAGTTTCCTTACATCTGCCAGGAGGCAATATGTCAAATAAATAATTTAGACCAGCTGAGGCACCACAAGAAAACAAGGCCATCAATCATCTCGGCTGCATTATTGATTGCCAATACCAAGATACTTGCTAAGACAAATGACTCAGCTATTATACTAGTGAGGTTTTAGCCTACCCTGACTACATAAATCAAATGAATGGTTTGTTGTTTTAAGATGTACAAATGTATGTATAATTATTTCCCTGCATTTGTGTAATCTATCTAAGGTGGCTCCTCATATGCGAAACCTAGATACATTATTTGCCCACTTACACAATTTTTCCCTTTCTCTTTAGGTGTTACACATATCTGTTGCATCCATCTAATGGAGAACTACCTCTGCTTATGCTTATTCCTGTAAGACCTAGCTATTGCTTTAATGGCTTAGCAATAAAATGGATTTACTAGCTCATAAACTGAAAACTCCATGGAAATTATGTCTCCAGCCATGATTGGATTCAGGAGTTGAATCTTTTCATTAAACTTAAGTCTTTCTCTCCTCTCTGTGTTGTCTTCTTTCTCAGGCTCTGCTTTCCTCTGTTGGTGTCCTTCTTGGGAGGTCTCTTCCCATGTGGGATTCAAGTTGCTCTAATACAAAAAATATGCTTGAAGTTAAAAAAAAAAAAAACACAGAAGATAGTATCTCTTTTTCAGCCAAAGTTCCAAGGTTGAGTCTCATTGAACTGATCTGGATCACCTCTTTGAGTCAACTACTATGACCAAAAAGATGAAATTGTTGAGCTCAGACCTGGCGCAAACATGTTCCCTAAGGACCAGTAGGAGAGGTATCAGACATACCCAAATCAAACGAAAATTGATTGCCACTATGGCATTCTCATTTCTATATCACTCCACAGACCTTTCAAAGGGTCTCACAATTTTGAGGTACTTGATCTATGTTTCTTAATATAATCCAGCTATTACCTGGGTTCACACTAGCCCTTGAAAGCTATATTGAGTTACCTCTAATCCACAATCTCACTTCCAGAAAGAACCCAAATATCCTTTCCATAAATTTATAGGACCTTCCTTCTTCACATCTGCCTCTGAGCTTCAGCAGCATAAGAGGCTACCTGTGTCTTGAAACATTTTGATTCTGACAAACTCTACTACTCTGGTTGCCCCCCCACCACACACACACACACATGCATGGTAAAATATGCCCAATATTTCTTTCAAAAGATAAATGAGAGGTTAGGAGGTGTTTGTAGAACAATGCATGCCACTTTAACAGGTACTTGAAGGAACCTCAAAAATTTTTTTTACTAATCCTGACTACCCCAGACTTAACTCATTTTCCGACTTCTTGCAACCCACTCCAACATTTAAGAGAGAAATAATAGAATTTTCCCCTGCATCTCATGCAGAGAAATGACTGTCCTATCCCTATCTCAGCTTTGATTCCAGCAGGCATTTAGAGCATTGAAGATGGGATGGAAGCTGAAGAGCAGATGTGAAGAGATGTCTTGCCATCTAGATCACTTTTCAAAGTATTCTTGCCAACAAAGGCAATGCTCTTTCCATGAGAAATTCTAAGAATAAAACAGCAGAGAAATCATGTCAACTTTATTTCTGCCATGCTTCTCATACCCCTCTCCTAATTTCCTAAAACCCATGTTCACTGCCTTTATTCATGCCTGGAATCAAATACGTTCTAAGGAGAATTAAATAATTGGCATTCTTTTGTGTGTTGACCATTACTAAGTAGATACCTTTTTCTAAGTACTGTTCTTTCTACATAGGACAAAAGGGAAGGAAATAGGACTCTCTTTCCCAAAATTATAATAGACAAAATAAACTGTCTTCATCACTCTAGGGCAGTGTTTCCCAAATTTCAGATACATCCATTCTTCCAATTTTTTACATATCTGCATAACACTTCTAATATTTATGTAATATTTTAATAGATTTCTTTTTATATGTACTTTAGTCTTGTGTTAAGTGAAATCTGTGAATAGATGTTGAAGTTAATTCTCTTCTAACACATTAAAGTAACCACTTTGATTAAAATGTTGTCCATGTGCCACCTTAATTTTCTCCTGTCACAAGTAATATACATCTTACTCCTTGGAGAAGATTTTTTTCTAAGTCAGTGGATAATGGGTAGAGCTGTCATTACTGAGGTATATAGAGGTTTAAACTTCTATAAGCCATCTACACTACCTATAAACAAACGTATACAAGAGTAGAAGGATGCAGAAACCAACACACTTCCAGGCAATTAAAATGGGACCCAAGAATAAAACTGTAAGTCTACTTGGCTTTAAATGGAATCACACTATTTGTAACCATCCAGGGTCAGAGAACAGATGTAAGAAGAACCAAAGTTCTCCTTTTTCTGATTTTATTTTGTTTCATTTTTACAGTAAAGAGGAAACAGAATGAGCTTTAGACTTAGACCAGCCTGACTTTGAATCCCACTTACTGTCTTTATGATTTTGAGCAAGTTGCTTTACTTCTCTGATCCTTGGTTCCTGCTTAGAAAAAAAATGAGAATAACGCCAATGATCTCTGGATTGCTGTGCGGTATGCAAAGTTTATGGGTCAAAGTCAATGCGTAGTATTACCAATCATCAGATAGCTTTAGCAATTATGAGCTTAGTCTTCTATTTTGGAAAACTGAGTCCAGGGGCAGCAGCAAGAGCCTCTTTATTCCTATTGCATAAGATTTCCCTTTCCTTTCACAGACTCTTGAGATCCGAGATAGGCGATGGAATCACAAGGCAGCTCATGGGAAACTAATCACTCAGAATGAATGATTCTATAGAAATGGCAAAAATCGGACACCTACTCCAGGTGTCACAAACTGGCTGATAGATTCATGTTAAGTATGTAATGCTTCTTTCCTACTCCTGTTTAGTTTGTTTGTTTGTTCCCACATAAAGAGGAAATTTGACCGTCAAAAAAACTCCTGGCATAAACCTATGTCTGAATCAGTCTTCCCTAGAAGTAAAGCCACTTAATCTGATTAATGAGTTGGGGAAAAGTATCTGGACATATATAAACTTTCATGTTCCTCTTCTCTGTGACATAAAGTGTCATCCATCCCAAGCAGAATGTCAATGTTTTTGCTAGTTTCACAGGGTCCATCTCTACCTATGACTAGGTCAGACATCTGAGTGATTCTGTAGTTCAGTATTAAGAAGCTCACTTGTCTCTCACCCACACACTGAATAACAACATTTCAGTCAATGGCAGACCACATATATAACAGTGTCCCCATAAGATTATACTATATTTATACTGTACCTTTTGTATGTTTAAATATACAAATATTTACCATTGTGTTAAAATTGCCTACGGTATTCAGTGCAATAACATGCTGTACAGGTTTATAGCTTAGGAGCACTAGGCTGTACCATATGGCCTAGGTGTGTAGTAGACTGTACCATGTAGGTTTGTATAAGTACACTCTATGATGTTCACACAATGATGCAACCACCTAATGATGCATTTCTCAGAGTATTTCCCTGTCGTTAAGCAGCACATGACTGTAGTTATGAACCACACTCTCTATTATCAGTGTTATGAATAATACAGGTGATAATTTAAGGCAGTTTCTCATCTGCCTTCCTCTTTTGTTTTAATTCTCGACTGATACAGACTAGAAAAAGGGATGTTATTTTGAGAACACTCTCAAACTTCAGCAAAATGTTTTCACAAACAAGACTTCATTATCACAATACTTACTGCATCAAAGCTATTTCTGAGTTCGTAGTTAGAGTGATTCTCCCAAAACAGGCACCACAATTTTTGAACAGAGTAACTCGGTGCCTGCCACATTTTTTAGGGTACTTACCATGGAAGCTATGCTGAGTTTAGCTAACTAAATCCAAGATCCAGAAGCGTGTGGTTGCTTTCATTCCTGATCTCTGAGGAATCTAAAATCTCTTCTATTTCAACAGAACTCCTGGCCTCCAAACCTCTTGTATTTCCTGGGGTGGAATACCAATGTACAATTTTTGTATCAAAAATATATTAAAGATTGTGAATGCCTTATTTCCATAGCACTTTTGTTTAAAAAGTACTTTTACATTTATGTTCATTTTGCTTTCAATTTACTTTCAACTTTTTATCTCTTCCTTATCTTTATTATATTCTGCAAGGTTACCCTAAATGAAGAAAATACACCTGAAAGAGGCAGTATTGAAAAAGGTCATATAGACCACAGCACAATTAAAACTGAAATTCAATTTACCCAATTCCCTGCCTTCAAGTTGCTCCTAGCTTACTAAAAGAGACAAAAAGGTAAACAAAAAATTATGACCCAAATTGTGACACCTACCTCATAATGGCCACCTTGGGAGTCTACATAGAGGGACTGGTGATCCTATCTTAGGGAGCTAGAGGAGACTTGCTGGAGGGGAGTAAAGAGATAGGCTTTAAGGCATGAATATTTCAGGCACAGAAACAGCATGTTCAAAGAGGGAAGAGAACATAATTGTTCAGGGAACTGCAAATTGTTCAGAATGGTTGGGGTGCAAATTGCTAGCATAGAGCAGGAAGAGATAAGCCTGGAAAAGGAAGCAAGGACCAGACAAGGCAGGCTTTGCAGAGTCTGAGAATATGGCTTCACTAAGAAAATAATGAAACAATCCCATCTGTCATCAAACCAAACCAAGTAAGATAGGTCAATGCCTCTTTACCTCTTAAACCCAAAACACAAGGGAAGACAACTCTAATATAGTCCAAAACAGTCAAGGTTGTAGCACCATGACAAGGTTACCTCCAGTTTACCTGGAAAGGGCATTTCAGTTTAAATGATAATTCCCATAAACCTAAAACGATTTTCCCAAGTCCATTCAGTGTTCATAGAACTGCTTTTCCAAGCAATCTACACACTCATATTGGTCACTGTCTCCCAAGACTGACTGATAAATGGTTTTGTGCTTGGATGTTCTAGTGGAATCTGACTGTCAGACAATTTGGTATTCAGGACAACTTAAAAGTTTTCCTTTTTCTTCCAGGAGACAATCAACTTGTCATAAAGCATTACATTTTTCAATGTATATGCATTTCATTCTCGCAAACATACATTCGGAGCTAGGTGCCTCCCTTCCTTCACCAGCACACATACACATACACACCCTATTATTAAGTGGATACATATATCAGAATGGCACATCCAGAATATACAACAGTAATAATTCCTTATATTTTCATAGTTGCTTTTCATTTATAACTTATACACAGCTGCACCCAAAAAGAATGTGAGACAGCTATAGCACTTTATAATTTATAAAGCATTCCATCTTATGAAAATCTTGTGGGGTAGGAAGAATGAGGATTAATATTTGTGTCAGGAAAAAAGGAAACTCAGGCTGTAAAAGATAAGGTGACTTCCTAAAGCCCATATCCAGATCTCTGAAAGCCTTAAGCTATGCCTTTCAATTGCATTAGACCATCTCCTCTAATAACTTGTATACCCACCAGCTCTCTTTAAGGACATACTGAGAAATAAATAAGCAAAAAATAATCACAAGTATGAGAACATGACTCAACCACTCTGCACTCACTCTCCACATCACCACTCAGACTTTCAAGTGTTAAGAATCATTGCTAATATTTATTGAGTACCTAGGACATGCATAACTGGTTTACATTCCTTACCCCACGAGAGGCCTATGAGGTAGCTAATATTATTTCCATTTTAATGATGAGAAAGGTGAGATACAGAAAAGTTAAATAATTTTCCCCCAAAGACATAGCAAGTAGGTTTTGGAGTCAGGGTTCATAATCAGACAGTCTTAATTAAGCAGTCACATGTTTAACCACTATACTATTCTTGTTCTTTGTACCAGAAACTTCTTCAGAGTAGATGTATCACAAGCAATGGGTTTTGTCCTAAGAGACTTATTATACGTGTGTGTGTGTGTGTGTATCGTGTGTGTGTATTGTGACTCTTTCATCCAGATGATCCAGGTAGTCTTCTCAGGGTGCATATAAACCCTTCCAAATCCACACACAAGTAGAGTTCCTAATGAAGTTCTCATTTCCCCGAATGCAAACATCTGTCCCTCCCATGACCATTCAGACTGGTGCCACTACCTAGAGGGGACAATTTGACTTGGCCCATAAGTTATTTTGCAAAATGAAAACAAGTCTGAAGATTTGCTACTCAGGTACAAAGGTCACCTATATAATAGTCCAAAAATTTATTCCCAGAGATATAATGATGAATCATCATGCCACTTTGCCGTGGTATATCTGTACTATGATTGCCACTACCAAGGCAGCATACTGATATGCCCTCCAAATCCTTAGTTTTTACCCATTGCCATCAGGCACATATGCTATTATCTATAACTGAGTCATCACTATACCTTACAACATTTCTGATTCTTCTAAACTTGAACATCTGGCAATTGTTACCCAACCTTATCCAAAGGTTCCCAACTAGGTGAGGGATTGAGTGGTCAGTATAGATGCCAGTAAGAGGAAAGATTATGAGAGTAGAATAGAAAGAAAAGGGCTGAGGTTCTTGGACACTAATTAATAGTTGAATTCAGGGAGATAAAAAAGTTCTATTTTAATATTATTTATATTTATATATTATTCATATCAGATAATCACAATCACTAAGAAAGAAATCAAAACTAATGATCGCTAAACTGTAGAATGATTAAAGTTTTGTTTTGTTTCATTTTGTTTTTGTAATTGACTAAATATGGTGGAAATTGCTAGTTACCTACCCAAATCCATTCTCTCTTCTTCCTAATTGAACCCAAATTTTGTCAGGAGTCATAGATGTCTAGATAGATTTAAAAGGGGGTTGGGGGGAAAGAAGATGAAACTACATTTCCCAGACTGTCTTGCAGATAGCAATGGCCATGTGACAGGATTCTGGCCAATAACATACAAGCAGAGGTTGTTGGGGAGACTTTTAGTTAAACTCTTCAAAACGTGTCCAACTGCCTTAGTGAATGTCCATTTCCAGTGCCCAAAACCTTTTTCTTAGGTGAAATTCAGATATAAAACCAGCACAAATCATCTATCTTGAGACTGAAGGGACAGATAAGAGACACTATTCTGAGGACATAGAGGAACTACCATACCACTAATGAGTACCAAACCTATTTTATGCTAGAAAAATAAAATTCCTAGTATTTCAAATCATTATTTTTAAAGCCCACTGCTCACAGTTGAATGAAATTCATAACTGATGTACCATGCTATGCTAACCTTAGCAAATGTCAGCATAAGAACACAAATTCATTCCAGAGGGAGATCAAAAACCCCAACAGGGATTTTGTTGAGATAAATGTCATCGCTATTTGAGCTATGCCAGATCCCTTGTAGGATTTCCCACCTTTATTTTCTATTTTGATTAAGATATTATGATTTTTTATCACACTGTCAGAGAACAAATACAAGCATGAATAATAATTTATAAAATAGTCATGCATTGCTTAATGATGGGGATACATTCTGATAAACGGCCATTAGGCAATTTTGTTGCTGCGTGAACATCACAGAATGTACTTACACAAACCTAGATGGTATAGCCTATTGCTCCTAGATTACAAACCAGCATAGCATGTTACTGTACTGAATATTGCAGGCAATTACAACACAATGGTAAGTATTTCTGTATATAAACATATCTAAACATTAAAAAGGTACAGTAAAAATATATTAAATGTCTGGCATGGTGGTGAGTGACTGTAGTCCCTGCTACTGGGGAGTCTGAGGCAGGAGGCTTGTTTGAGCCCTGGAGTTAGAGAACAGCCTGGGCAACATAGGAAGACCCTGTATCCAAAAAGGAAAAAAAAATGTATATTTTAAAAGAAAATAAGGTATACAAGATTAAAAAAATGTGCACCTTTATAGGGCACTTACAATGAATGAAGCTTGCAGGATGGAAGTTGCTCTGGGTGAGTCAGTGAGTGAATAGTGAGTGAATGTGAAGGCCTAGGGCATTAGTGTACACTACTGGAGACTTTATAAACACTGTTTATTTAGGATACACTGAACTTATTGAAAAAGATTTTTCTTTCTTCAATAATAAATTAACCTTAGCTTATGGGTAACATTTTTACTTTGTAAACTTTTTAATTTTTTAAAATTTTTGACTGCTTTGTAATAACATTTAGCTTTAAACAAGAACACATTATGTGGTTGTACCAAAATATTTTTGTTCTTTACATTCTTATTCTATCAACTTTTTTCTATTTTTAAAATTCTTGATTTATTTTTACTTTTTATAATTTTTATTGAAAACTAAGACGCAAACACACATATTAGCCTAGATCTACACATGGTCAGGATCATCAATATTGCTATTTTCCACCCCCGCAGCTTTTCACTAGAGTTTTTCAAATCTGAATAAGAGTTTTCAGCTCCATTCTAACTTTATGGGACCACTGTTGTCAATGTGGTCTGTTATTGACAGCAATGTCACTATGTGATACATGACTATATATACCCATAGTGGTTCCCAGATATTTTTCAAAATCCTAGCATGTGTTTGGCAGTCATAATTTCTTCTTCTAGAGACACAAGATTATAGATTAGAGAGGCACATGTACTTTGTCTCTCTTTCCCAAGCCACATGCTCCATTGAGACTACATTTATACCCCATGGCTAATCTGTGGGTTTAAGCAATCAAGTCCCTACATGGCTTGAATATCTCCATGGGATCAGCCAACCAAGATAGAGACCTTCTACAGATAAGCCATCTTGGTACTAATTACTTTCCCTGAGACACAGCCAAGTGATAGGAATCAAACATCACCAATTCACAGCCTATTCCCTGATTCCTACATATAATGTTCTATTTAGGTTAAAACAAGAACACATTGGTCAGTCAAGATAGCTTAGTCTTGTAGCAAGGATATATGATGGCTATGGGTTCAGATTATCAATGTCAGATTCAATCTCATGTTTTTTTGTTAAAAAAAATCCCTTCTACTTGCATGGAGAATATCCTCGTTTAACTGGCATAGGAGTATCAAAATATGAATTGATATTTAGAAATGTTAGTGCTTACACAACAAACCCAAACCATGTACCTAATGTATTTTTAATGTAATACCCAGAAAGACAAGAGTAATTAAAGAATAATTGGAAGAATCAGATGGTTCTCTAGAAGAAGATATTCATAATAAAATAAAAGTTTTTATATTTAAATATTTAGAAACAACTGACAGTATTTTAAACAACACTGAAAGTTCACGAAGTATCGGGCATTGCGCTAAGTGCTTTGTGTATACCATCTCATTTTTTTTTCTACTTATGAAGAAAGTAATATTTTAGAACTTCTCCTATTTTAAAGACAAAGTGCTTGAGCTCAGACAAGTAATTTGTCCAAACTCACACAACTGTTAAATGGTAGAGCAAAAATTCTAGCCAACTTAGGCTTTCTGATCCCTTGGTGAGATTAAGTATTTCACTCTATTGCCTCTCAGGAAGCAAAAGGAAATTAGAAAATAAGGTAAATGCTGGTTACTTAAAAAAAAAAAAAAACCTGATTTTAATAACAAACACAGCTAAAATTTCAGCTACTTGCAATATAAATTTTGGCTGAGTGAGACTGGTGGAGAGAAGTAAAAGTAGGCTACTTTTTGCCTTATTTGCTAGAACTATATATAAATAAATTCTAAACTTTGTTAGCAAAATATAAGTTTACTTGTACATATAATATACATTAAAGTATATTAAAATTTAAAAGCAATCATTGGTAGGCTAAAAAAATTAATAACTTTGAAGCCAGTAATACAGGAAAATCGAACAAAGCAAATTATATCAATTTAAAAAGTTTTTTTAAGTAAAATCATAAACCAGATGTGGTAGATTGCATTTTCCAAAGGTGATCACACTTTTATATAAACACCCTATATGTTCTTCTTAAACTGTGTTGTTGACACATTTAAATTGAGGGATGAGGTCTATATTCCCTGACTCTGAACCTGCACAGAACTTTACAAATGCCTCAACTAATAGCATTTGGTTGATATCGTGTGCATGACTTCTGAGTCCAGGTTATAAAACAAAAATAGTTTCTACTTGGCTCTCCCTCTTAGTATGCTGGTCCTTTGAACACAGTCACCATATTCCCAAGCCACACAGAGAGACCATGTGGAGACCATGATTGAAGCAAAGAGCCCCAGCTAGATCCTCAGCCAACATTAGCATCAGCTACCAGACATATGAGTGAATGAGCTTTCAAATGATTCCAGCTTTCAGCTTTTGGGTCTTCCAGCTGAGAACTAAAACATCATAGAACAAAGAAAAGTTTTCTCTGCCCAATCTGAACTCCTGATATGTAGAAAATGTGAGAGATAATCAAGGGAATATTGTTGTTCTAAACCACTAAGTTTGGGAGTAATTAGATATACAGCAACAGTTTATTAATAAAGCAGAGAAAATTGAAAAATAAAAAATTAGTTGACAAGAACAAATCCAAAAATATCAGGAATCATGATGAAATTAAAAGGATTAAAATCACCTATTAAGTGGATTAAAAAAACTAAAGGTGCAGGAAGTTTTAAAATGAAGGGATTGCAAAAATAAAAAAATATAAAAACAGGTAATTAACTCCCCCAAAAATATTTCTCTAGCAATACAAATATGAGTCAACATTGAATCTTAATTCAAATCTTAAGGCAAAAAAGTATTAAAAGATGCACAGATAAATATTTCATATTAATAAAAGAACAATTATACAAGTTATGAGGCATAAATATGTATTGTAGCAATACAGTTTTGAAAAGTATAAAATGAAATTTTACATATAAAATCATAGATAAAATCTGGATATCTACAAACTATTCATAATTGTGGTTATATCTGTGACAAAGAGCAGGGGACTAGGTTTGATTATATCAAGTAAGTCTAAATGAGCCACACTCTACACACACACGCGCACACACACACACACACACACACAACTGTGATGATAGGTAGAAATGCAAACAAGTTTCAATACATCATATTGGAAAACTTCATATCTCTACTTCAGTAAATATTGCTCTTTGTTAACTAAGTATATAAAAATACTTTGAGTTAACTGACCTGTACTTCTAATATTACTTTTATTCCAGCAATATTCCAACAAGATAATTTCAAAATAAATACAAAGAAGAATACACTGATACAGAAGAATATACTGACATAATACCAAAAGATATGTTATCCTTGTATGACAAGCAATTAGGTGTTCAAAAAATACTCAGAATTATACTAAGTGCCAAGCACTGTATTAGGTACTAAGTTTACAAAAGTGAATCCGACAGATGACTTCCTATTCTGGGCTTACTGTTTGGTAGAAGAGATAGACTCTGAACAGAGAAGCCCATAATGACCATAAACTTTCAAATTATGTGAGGACTTTGAAGGAAAATATCAAAATATTTTTTAGATATTAAACCTGAGGTAGCACAGGAAAGTGATCCCTGAGAGAGGGAAATAAATAAGGTTATTGCCAGCTTACTGCCTTGAGAGAGTTTTCAGGCCTCAATACAGGAAGGGGAAAACCAGGTAAGGGCCCAGTGATCCTACTGAGATGAGGATAGAGAGTTGGGAGATTGAAGAGGCCAAAAAAGCTAGAGTTCATGGAGCAGAGCACCAGAGAGGAGAGAGCTGCACATGGAGAGAGCTTCAGAGACTTGCAGAAGGCTCCCCTCAAGGCTTCATCTGAGCACTAACCAGCACATACACTTGAGGAAGTTACTCAGGGCCAGCTAAAGAAACAACCAGACAGAACTAAAGACATGATTATCTCAATACATGTAGAAAAAAGCTTTTGATAAAATTCAACATCCATTCATGTTAAAAATTCTCAATAAACTAGGTATTGAAGGAACATACCTCAAAATAATAAGAGACATATATGACAACCCCCACAGGCAACATCGTACTGAATGGACAAAAGCTGGAATCATTCCCCTTGAAATCCAGCACAGGACAAGATTCCCCTCTCTCATCAGTTCTATTCAACATAGTACTGGATGTCCTGACCAGGGCAACAGGCAAAAGAAAGAAAGAAAGGGCATCCAAATAGCAAGAGAGGAAGTCAAACTATCCTTGTTTGCTGACAACATAATCCTATATCTAGAAAACCCATTAACACAGTCCAAAACCTTCTTAAGCGATAAACAACTTAGCAAAGTCTCAGGATACCAAATCATTGTGCAAAAGTCAGTAGCGTTCCTATACACTAACAACTGAGAGCTGAGAGGCAAATCAGAAATATACTTCCATTCACAGTTGTCACAAAAAGAATAAAATACATGGGAATACACCAAACTAGGGAAAAGATCTCTACCAGGAGAACTACAAAACACTGTTCAAAGAAATCAGAGATGATACAAATGGAAAAACATTCCATGCTTATGAATAGGAAGAATCAATATTATTAAAACGACCATACTGCCCAAAGCAATTTATAGAGTCAATGCTATTCCTATCAAACTACCAATGACATTCTTCACAGCATTAGAAAAACCTATATTAAAATTCACATGGAACCAAAAAAAGAAAAGCCTGAATAGCCAAGACAATTTTAAGGAAAAAGAAAAAACCTGGAGGCATCACACTACCTGACTCAAAACTGTACTGGCTACAGTAACCAAAACAGCATGGTACTGGTACAAAAACAGACACAAAGGCCAATGGAAAAGAATAGAGAACCCAGAAATAAGACCAGACATCTACAACTATCTGATCTTCGAAAAACCTGACAAAAACAAGTAATGGGGAGACATCCTGTACTCAATAAATGGTGCTGGGATAACTGGCTAGCCATATGCAGAAGACTGAAACTGGACCCCATCCTTATACCATATACAAACATTAACAAAAGACAGATTAAAGATTTAAATGTAAAACACAAAACCTATAAAAACCCTGAAAGATAAGCTACCTAGGCAATACCATCCAGGACACAGGCACGGACAAAGATTTCATGACAAAGACACCAAAAGCAACTGTAACAAAAGCAAAAATTGACAAATGAGATCTAATTAAACTAAAGAGCTTCTTCACAGCAAAAGAAACTATCAACAAAGGAAACAGACAACCTACAGAATGGTAGAAAATTTTTGCAAACTATACATGTGACAAAGGTCTATATCCACCATCTACAAAAAAACTTAAATTTACAGGAAGAGAAAAGCAAACAACCCCATTAAAAAGTGGGCAAAGGACATGAACAAACGCTTTTCAAAAGAACACAGACATGTGTCCAACAATCATATGATAAAATCCTCAATATCAGTGATTATTAGAGAAATGCAAATCAAAACCACAATGAGTTACCATCTCATACCAGTCAAAATGGCTATTATTAAAAAGTCAAAAAAATAACAGATGCTGGTGAGGTTGTAGGGAAAAAGGACCATTTATACACTGTTGGTGGAAGACACTGTGGTCATTCATCAAAGTCCTAAAGACAGAAATACAATTCAACCCAGCAATCCCATTACTGGGTATATACCTAAAGGAATATAAATCATTCTATTACAAAGACACATGCACGCATGTGTTCATTGCAGCACTATTTACAATAGCAAAGACATGGAATCAACCTAAATGCTCATCAATGATAGACTGAATAAAGAAAATGTGGTACATATACACCACGGAATGCTATGCAGCCATAAAAAGGAACTAGATCATGTCCTATGCAGGGACATGATGGAGCTGGAGGCCATTATCCTTAGCAAACTAACACAGGAACAGAAAACCAAATACCACATATTCTCATAAATGGGAGATAAATGATGAGAACACATGAACACAAAAATGGGAACAGACACTCTGGGGCTTTGCAGAGGGAGGAGAGAAGGAGGAGGGAGAGGATCAGGAAAAATTACTAATGGATAGTAGGCTTAATACCTGGGTGATGAAATAATTTGTACAACAAACTCCCATGACACAAGTTTACCTATGTAACAAACCTACACTTGTACTCCTGAACTTAAAATAAAAGTTAAAAATATGTATATAACAGGAGAAATATTTCAGTAAAAATTCTGCCTCAAAAAAGAGAAACACCTAAAAGAGGCAGAGGCTGCCAACTCCACAGGACACACAGATTCAGAAATATTTTTAGTTCTCATAAGCCATAAAGTAAAAGAAAAAAATTGTGACCAACCGGGCACGGAGAAGAGTATTCAAAAGGGTATTAGCTTGGTAATGAAACAAAATTAGTTCTAGAACAAAGGCTGCTCTGCTCTGGTCCTGCATCACAAAACTTAACAGAAAGTCTTCAAGGGACCAAACTATTTTATGGTCAATTAACTACACCTCAGAACAAAACTCAAGAATATTTGTAGGAATACAAAAATATCCAGCACTTAACAAGGTAAAATTCACTATGCCCTTCATCCAATCAAAAAATTAACAGGCATACAAAGGAGCAGGAAAATATAGCCCATAATTAGAGAGCAAAACAACACCTTTACATTACTATAATTTAAAAAAAACCTGTACATTATTCCCCCAAAAATATGTTTCACAAATGATGGAAAAATAAAGATAATTTATAGATATGAAAGCTAAAAAATCCATCACCAGGAGACCTGTAGTACAAAAATATGATTTTTTAAAGTCCTGAAGCAGAAAGAAAATGTCACCAAAAACCTATGTCAACATGAAGGCATGAAGAGCACTGAAATTAGTAAAAATGTGGGTAAATATTAACAAAGCTTTTCATATTTAAAAAGCTCTATAAATTAACTAAAGGAAAATAATAATGTATGAAGGGTTTGTGACATATGTATAAATGGTTTGTGACAATAATGTATAAAGGGTTTGTGACATATGTTTGTGACATATAAAGGGTTATGTGAAATATGCATGACAAATGTCACACAAAGACTGGGAGGAAGAAATGAAAGTACAGTTTATAAGGTTGTTATGCTATACATAAATTGCTATATTACTTGAAAGTACATTGTAGTAAGTTAAAGATATATATTATAAACTCTAAAGCAACACCTAAATAAACTAACAAAGGATAAAATGGGTAATATAAAATTTAATTAATTCAAAAGAAAGCAGGAAAAAATGGAAAAAGAGAACAAAGAACAGATGGGGGAAATAGAAGCAAATAAGTAATACAGTGACTTAAGCTCAACCATATCAATAATCACATTAAATATAAGTGGTCTAAACATCTTAATTAAAGAATAGAGATTGGCAGATTAGATTTTTTTAAGAAAGAGCAAACTATGCTTTCTGTAAGGAACAAACACATTAGAAGAAAAAAGGTGGAAGAAGATAAACCATGCTAATACTAATAAAAAGAATATAATCAAATATAAAGAGTGTCATTTCATAATGATAAAGAGGCCAATTAATTGAGAAGACATAGAAATCCTAAAGGTTTATACCTCTAATAACAGAGCTTCAATGTTCATGATGCAAAAACAGATAGAACTCTAAGGAGAAACAGTCAAATCCATAATTATAGTGGGATATTTCAATACTCTTCTCAATTATTGATAGAATATGTAGGCAGCAAATCATTAAAGATGTAAAAGATTTGAATAATACTATCAAACAACTTGACTTAATTGGCATTTACAGAACACTCTAACAACTAAAAACACATAATTTTTGATGCACATGTAACATTTACCATGATCAACTATATTCTGAATTCTAAAATAAGTCAATCTGAAATAATTCAAATCATACAAAGTATGTTCTTGAACTATATAGTACAATTAAATTAAAAATCTGAAACAAAAATACATTTAGAAAACTCCAATTTTTATAAACAAAAGAGCAGATTTCTAAATAACCCACAAAGCAAAGGATACATCAAAAGGGATTCTATACTAGTGGGAGTATGATAGCATCTAAATATGCTTTTTGATTGCATTTCTATAATGACAAATGATGCTGACCATCTTTTCATGTTCTTGTTTGCCACCTGTATATCTTCTTTGATGAATTCTAGATATAACTCCTACAACAGACATACATTTACAGATATTAAAAACTTTGCTCTTCAAAATATATTGTTCCAAAAATGAAAAGGACTGGTACATAAAATATGAAAAATTCTTACAACTCAATAAGAAAAAGATATTGAACACAAACTTTATCAAAGTGATTAGTGAAAAAATACCTTTCCAGGTCAGGGAATTATCATGTGTGAACACCATGAGATAAGAAAGATCTTGATATATGTACCACATTTTCATTATCCAGTCTATCATTGATGGGCATTTTGGTTGGTTCCGACTCTTCGCTATTGTGAACAGTGCTGCAGTAAACATATGTGTGCATGTCTTTCGAGTAGAATGCCCAGTAATGGGATTGCTGGGTCACATGGTATTTTTGGTTCTAGATCCTTGAGGATCACCACACTGTCTTCCACAATGGTTGAACTAATTTACACTCCCACCAACAGTGTAAAAGTGTTTCCATTTCTCCACATCCTCTCCAGCATCTGTTGTTTCTTTTTAATGATTGCCATTCTAACTGGCAGGAGATGGTATCTCACTGTAGTTTTGATTTGCATTTCTCCAACGACCAGTGAGGATGAGCTTTTTTTTTCCATACAATGGAATACTATGCAGCCATAAAAAAGGATAGTTCCGGATAGTTTCTTTTTCCTTAAAATTGTCTTGGCTATTCAGGCTTTTTTTTTTGGTTCCATGTGAATTTTAATATAGGTTTTTCTAATTCTGTGAAGAATGTCATTGGTAGTTTGATAGGAATAGCACTGACTCTATAAATTGCTTTGGGCAGTATGGTCATTTTAACAATATTGATTCTTCCTATTCATGAGCATAGAATGTTTTTCCATTTGTATCATCTCTGATTTCTTTGAGCAGTGTTTTGTAGTTCTCCTTGTAGAGACATTATCCCTACATCCTTTGCAGGGGCATGGATGAAGCTGGAAACCATCATTCTCAGCAAACTAACACAAGAACAGAAAACCAAACACCGCATGTTCTCACTCATAAGTGAGAGTTGAACAGTGAGAACACATGGACACAGGGCGGGGGGAACATCACACACGGGGTCCTGTTGTGGGGGGAGGGCCTAGGGGAGGGATAGCATTAGGAGAAATAGCTAATGTAGGTGACTGGTTGATGGGTGCAGCAAATCACCATGGCACGTTCATACCTATGTAACAAAACTGCACGTTCTGCACATGTACCCCAGAACTTAAAGTATAATAATTTAAAAAAAAGGAGCTTGGCCCGGTGCGGTGGCTCACGCCTGTTATCCCAGCACTTTGGGAGGCTGAGGTGGGCAGATCACGAGGTCAGGAGACCCAGACCATCCTGGCTAACACGGTGAAACCCCGTCTCTACTAAAAATACAAAAAATTAGCCGGGCGTGGTGGCGGGCACCTGTAGTCCCAGCTACTCGAGAAGCTGAGGCAGGAGAATGGTGTGAACCTGGGAGGCAGAGCTTGCAGTGAGCCGAGATCACGCCACTGCACTCCAGCCTGGGCGACAGAGCAAGACTCTGTCTCAGAAAAAAAAAAAAAAAAGAGCTTGATATGTTTCTGGAACTGAAAAAGGCTTGTGTCACTGGAGCGTTTATACAGGAGGCAGGTGACATGATATTAAGTTGAGGTAGGGAGGGGACAGGATCATACAAGACCTTGAAACCACTGTAGGGGGTCTGCTAGCTGTACAAACTTGGGCAACTTTCTTAAACTCTTTGTGTCTTTATTTTCAAAGACATGTAATAACACTACCAAACAAATTGACTGAATTGGCATTTACAGAACACTCCATCTAACAACTGAAAACACATAAAATGAGAATGTAGAATTAGAATATGATTTAATTCATAAGGTGGTTGGGAGGAATAAATGAGTTAGGAAATGTAAAGTGTTTACGGCAGTCCCTGGCACATATTAAAGGATTTCCTCTATTACTCCCACTGCAATATATAATACTCCATATCGCCTATGATGTAATGGGCTGAAGTTTAGATACCTAAGCAATGGGATTTACAAATTAAATTCTCTTTTTCTATTATTAATGAGACTGAACTCTTAGCTATCTGTAAAATGCTAACAGCAGCAACCAAATTATCCAGTGAAACAATGACAGAAAAATAACAGTCATGGCATCGTTTTTCCTTCTCCATGATACATGAAGAGTCCTGTCTGTGCTTTGGGGCATTTCCAGTTGTCATACAGATTATTGTCATTCTAAAAAAATGGTATACATACAGATTATTGTTGTCATTCTAAAAAAATTGTATACATATATCTTGGACATCTACTTTTCCATTACAACGAGATTCCCGAACCATTTTTTGTAACCCAGTACATTGTTTTTTTTAAAAAAAATAATTTTAATTATGAAAATTATTTATTAAAATTATTATAAAATGATGTCATTATAAAATTACTATTATTAGGATATATTAGGGTAATAGAAATTACTTTTATGTAGTAATATCAGCATAATCACAATTATGCTGATTATGATTTAAAAATCTAGAATTTTAAAAATAAAAATTTATAAAATAAAGCTCTTGTGCATCCTTGCCTGGTTTCATTCTTCTCTTCCCCAGGCCCCGTTGTCAACCATTATTCTGAATTTCACCTTTATTCCAAGAAATGTTCTGTTGTTTCTCCTGTATAGGTATGCATCCACAAACAATACTTAAAACTTTATTGTGGGTTTTAACTTTGTATAATCAGCATTGTTCCATAGGTCCTTGTGGTGGCTATGGGGTCACTGGCTTTAGTGAGCATAGCTGCCTGACTGCCATAGTTGCTATTCTCTGGCTTCACCCCTGCCTTGTGCTATGATTCCCACAGGCTGCTCCTAGTCCATAACTAAGGACAAAAAGTTACTAATGAAGGCCCATCCTACAACATACAGGATTCCTTTCATGAATACATTTGGTTCTGGAACTATCAGTCTGGCTTCCCCACAGAGGTTAGCCATGCATCATGTTCTGCGAGATTTCCTCGCCTTCTGTTCTCTTCCCCTCATAGGCATTTCCTTGCCCCCACCCCCCCAATAAATCTCTTGCACATCTACTCTTGTCTTGGTGCCTGCATTATAGAGGACCAGAACTAACACAGTATTTCTTTTTTCTTTTTGCAATTTGATTTCTTCACTAAGCTTTATGTTTTTGTGATTTGTTTATGTGGCTACATTTATCTCTAGTTCATTAATTTTAGCTACTATAAAGGATTCTGTTGTATGAATATACTGAAATTGATTTATCCTTTCTCCTTTTAATGGACATTTATGTTGTCTCCAATGTTTTCACCATTACAAGCCATGCTTTAATGAACACTTTAATACATAGGTCATAGGGTAGGCATGGCTTTACCAGCTATTGTCAATTACACTCCCAAGTCATTGTATCAAATCACACTTCTCCTAGCCATGTATGAGAATGCCCACGGTTCCACTTCCTTGCGACACTTGAAACCGTTAAACTTCATTTTGTCTGTCTCACTCGTACTAAATGATACCTCACTGTAGTTATAATTTGCATTTTTCTGAATATTACTGATATTAAGCATTTTTCATTCTGGCTGGTCTCTTTTCTCTTCAGTGATTTGCCTGATCAGATTCTTTGCTGTAAACTGTATTGTTTGTATTTATCCTCTTGTTTTAAGGAGTTCTCTGGGTATGCTGCACAATAACCTAATATCTTAATTTGTTTCAAAAATCTTCTCTCATTTTATGACACATACTTTCTAACTCTCTTAGTGGTACCTTTTGATGCAAAGAGATTTAAACATTTACTGTAGTTTATTAACATTTTCATTTATAGTATTGGTTTTCATTTTCTAAAGAAATCTTTCTATATACCAAAGTCATACTGATATTATGCAATATTGTCTTTTAAAAACAGTTTTGTTTTGTTTTTTGTGTAGATTTTTTTAAATTTTAAGTTCTGTGGTACATGTGCAAGATGTGCAGGTTTTTATAGAGGTAAACGTGTGCCATGGTGGTTTGCTGCACCTATCAACCCATGACTTAGAACTTAAGCCCAGCATGCATTCACTATTTTAATCCAAATAGAATTGATCTTAGAACACATCATAGGAAATGGTTCCAATTTCACTTTTTTTCATCAGGGTGACTGATTGTTCCCAAACCACTTCTTCAGTAATCCCTCCTTTCACCTTTGATCTGCACCATTACCTATTTAATATGTCCAGTTTCCATATATGTATGTCTTTGTACAAGCTTCTTACTGTAAAATTGTGTTCTGTATTTTTATCTTTGTATTAATAACACATTTTTAAATTAAAAAATAATGATTCTTGGTGTCTCGTAAGTTGGGTCTCCCATTTTGATTTTCTTTTTCAAAATTGCTCTGGCCATTCTTGGTCACTTGTTCTTCCATATAAACTTTAGAATCAGCTTGTCAAGATCCATGAGAAATCTTATTGAGAACTTGAATGAAAATGATATGAATTTGTTGACTGATTTTTAGAAAATGAGGATATTTATGATTTGAAATTTCCATTATAATCCTACCTTTTTTTATTACAATTAGTCTCTTCTTTTAGTTTTTAGTAAAGATTTATATTTTCTCCATAAAATATAATACATTTTTATTTAGATGTTGTTGTAACTTTTATATTATGTTTGCTGTTTGTGGCTAACATAAAAAGCATTAAAGATTTTTACATATTGGTCTTATATCCAGTCACTGTATTGAACTCCTATTAATCCTATTACCTCTTCTCCAGCTTCTCTTGCAATTTATACGGAACAACAATAGAATCTGAAAAATCATCACAATTTTGTTTCTTTTCACCAATACTTGTATCTTTTATAGCATTTTTGTGTCTTATTATACAGATTGGAGCCTAACATACCAAAAAAAGAAATGTTGATAGATACAACATTGGTTTATCCCAGTCTTTAGAAGAAATACATCTAACATTTTCCCATTAAGCATCATATTTGCTCTCTGTTTCTGTTACATATCTTCAGTTTAGGAAGTTCCTGTTACTATTGCTAGTTTTCTAGGAGGTTTGGAGTCATTGTCATTGTTTGATTTGTTTGTCTACCTCTGATATGTTTTGTCTCTGTTATCTATTAATGTGATAAATTGCATTAACAAATTTTCTAATATATTCTTGAAATAAACTCAAATGGTTTATACTGCATACTTTTCTTAAACATGTCTAGGTTCAGCTTGCTTTTTTGTACCCTAAAACTTAAAGTATAATAATAATAAAATTAAAAAAAGACTGTTCAATCCTGATTTATTAGTGAGATTGATCTCTAACTTTTTTTCTCCTATCTGATTTAAATACCAAGATTATACTTGATGGTTAAAATGAACTGGAAAATCTTCTTTTTCTGTTCTCCAGAATAGTTTGCATAAACTTGGAATTAGCTGTTTTTGAAATGTTTTCTGAAATGTTTTATACAACTCGACCTGTAAAAAGCCATCTGGGAAATATAATTTTGCCCTTTTTATTTTTTAGACAGACTTTTCACCATCCTTTTAATTTATTATGTGTATGTGTGTGTGTATGTGTGTGTATCTCCAAGTTTTCTATTTCTTTTTGAGTATTAGTAAGGTATAGCTTTCTAGGAAATTGCTCATCTGCTTACATTCAAGTGTATTGTTATAGTTGTTTAACAGACTGTGTTATTTTTCAATCAGTGCTACATCTGTAGTATGTCCAGTTTTCTGTTTCTAATATTTTTATGTGAGCTTTCTCTCTTTTGTTCTCCTTGGTCTTGTCTAAAATATATCTATTTTATTATACTTTTCCAATAACCCAATTTTGGCCTTGAGTTTCTCTATTGTGCACTGTTTCCTTAGTCACTAGTATCTGCTATTGTATTCATTACTCCCTTCCACACTTTTTGAGTTTACTATTTTTCTTTCTTTTTTTTTTTTTTTTTTTTTTTTGAGACAGAGTCTCACTCTGTCACCCAGGCTGGAGTGCAATAGCACAATCTTGGCTCACTGCAACCTCCGCCTCCCGGGTTCACATGATTCTCCTGCCTCAGCCTCCCAAGTAGCTGGTTTTACAGGCACCCACCACCATGCCCACTCCCAGATGGCTAATTTTTTCTAGTTTTTGTAGAGATGGGGTTTCACTATGTTGGCCAGGCTGGTCTCAAACTCCTGACTTCATGATCTGCCCACCTTGGCCTCCCAAACTGCTGAGATTACAGGTGTGAGCCACTGCACCCAGCCTATTTTTCTTTTTCTAACTTTGAGTTGCAAACTTAGCTTTGTAATTTTCGGTCTTTGTTATTTTCCAATATAATCACTGAAGACTTACTGTATTGATATAGTTGTTTGATTTGTGTTATTTTCATTTATAGTCAAATTTTGTGTATTTTCTGATATCCATTATGCTGTATTCCCTGATCCATGAATTGTTTACAATAATTAAGTTTTTAAACCTATATTTAGAATATGCATATGTATATATAACATATACATATATACATATTGTTAAGAACATATACATTCTTTTGGTTAATATTTGGTGTGTCTTTTTTCCATTCTTTCATTTCCAAATTTTTCCCATTTTAATACTCATGTGGTCTGTCTCTTATAAGCCACCAATTGTTCCATTTTTGTTTTAATTCAACATAGCAAACTCTGCATTAACTGGAAACTTTGGACCATTTACGATTATTTTCTCTATATTTTGATTTATTTCTATCATTGGATTTTGTATTTCCTATTTATCTTTTGTTTTCTGTGATTAGTTTTACTTTCTTTCCCATTTTGTCATTTTTATTTATTATCTGGTTATACTCCAATAGTTAAAAGGATGCTGTGGCTTGGGAAATAGTGAAATAGGAAGTTATTGTTCAATGGGTATAAAGCTTCAGATATGCTAGAAGAACAAGTTCCAGAGATCTGCTATACAAGGTAGTGCCTATAGCTAACCACACTGTATTATACAATTAAAATGTTTGCTACAAGGGCAGATCTCACATAAAATGTTCTTACCACAAAAGAGGGGAGGGTACAAGGAAACTTTTGAAGGTGATGGATATGTTTATTAATTGTTGTAATGTTTCATAAGTATATATACATATATGTCCAGACTCATCAAATTATATACAGTATGTGCAGTTTTTGTATATCAATTGCACCTCAATAAAGCTTTTTTTCTTGAAAAAATAAGAATGTGCAGTTTTTGTATATCAATTGCACCTCAATAAAGCTTTTTTTTCCTTGAAAAAAATAAGATGCTGTAGAAATTTTCTCCTAGCATTTCACATTTTTTAAACAGGATTTTTTAAATGTTTAAAGAACTACACATACCCCTTTCCCTTATATTCTGATATATTCCCAGGAAGCATTTTCACTCTGGGGGATCACTGTTTTAAAACATACAAAGTCCAACCCATCTCAACATTTATTTTTTTACTTTTATACCTACACCTTCTTTTCCAGAATCCAATGCACCTAACATTTGTGCAGTGACTCCTAAGGACTAGGACATAATGCATTATCTCCATTAACCATGTATCACTTGTGAGAAACTGGTGCAGGCAGCTTCAGTAGCTTGCCCAAGTTCAAGCAGATATTAAGGGTTGTGACTAGCATTTGGAGCCACATCTGTCTAGGCTAATCCTAGCTGACTCCCTGGTATTTCTGCTTTCTGTCTAATTCTCAAAAGTAAATATGGGTAGAGCAAGTCCTGTTATGAACTTACCTCAATGTTTGCAATATCATCAAGAGAGCTGCATAGGCAGAAAGGAGGAGAAAAATCAGCACAACCAGAAAATTGATGACATGCTACATAAGCCTTTCAAAACAAAAAACAACTCAAATCTGAGATGATCATTGGAAAATGTATAGATATTAGATTTGCCCTTTTGCTTCTTTTAAACGAGACTGAGGAACTCAATGATGAGACACACCCAGACTTTAAGGAAGGCAACAATAAGTTTGAAATGGAGACTGACACAGACTATTCTAGACGCTGAGCAGCTGTGCTCACTAATCAGGGTATTATTGTGCCCAGATTTCACCAGTGCCATCTCATTGCAAATTCTCCATATGAGTTTGGTCCCCTATTAGCCCCGTTGTCCTGAATGCAATGTGTTGACCTGCATGTGTTCTATTATGTTTGATTTCATTTTTTCCTTGGTTGTGTGAAATCCAATTAAAGCTACATTTCACGGCATGAAAAAAATGCTAGAGAGTAGAAGTATAAAACATTTTCAAAGCCCCTAGTTTACTATTTCCTCTATGTCAGTCAGAGCAACCACTGCCAACAACCATTTTTAGTCCACTTCATCAGACCCACTGCATCATCCTGCGGGGAACTCACTTCCCTAGTTCAGTCTATGCAAGTCCTATATCCTCAATACCAGGGCTTGGGGACATTAGCCCTGACTCTCAGATCTGGATGTGGTTGTAGATTTTCCCTGGATATGCTCTTCTGGTGTCAACTAGATAATTAGTCAGCAATTCAAAAAGGTGCACAGTCGGCCAGGCATGGTGGCTCACGCCTGTAATCCCAGTACTTTGGGAGGCCGAGGCGGGCAGATTACGAGGTCAGGAGATCGAAACCAGCCTGGCCAACGTGGTGAAACCCCGTCTCTACTAAAAATACAAAAATTAGCTGGGTGTGGTGGCGCATGCCTGTAATCCCAGCTACTCAGGAGGCTGAGGCACGAGAATAGCTTGAACCCAGGAGGTGGAGGTTGCAGTGAGCCGACATCATGCCACTGCACTCCAGTCTGGCTACAGAGTGAGACTCCATCTCCAAAAAAAAAAAGAAAGAAAGAAAAGTGCACAGTCTCAGCTTTCCCTACTACCCCTTTTGGCATTAAGTGATGGAAGATGGGTCAATGGGTCCACTAAGGGGCAAGACCAGAGGTACCTCTCTGCTCAGAAAAAAATCCACAGAAGAGGAAATGATGTTTGTGCATGGGAAAAGATAAAATGGCAATCTTGGAAAAAGAAAACTAAAGTTTGTTGGTTGGTTTTCCCTTCTTCCTTAGAGAAATCATCGTACGACTACATTATTGAACACAGATGAGTCTTCAAATTTTGTATCAAGACAGATTCAAGTGTTGAGGTCTGAACATAATGCTGCAACTTTCCAGGCTTCATGAGCCTGAGGAAGAGGCCATAAAGTCTGGTAAATTCCCAATATCCACTTTCAGTGACAGCAACTAGCTCAATGCTCTATGTTCTGCTATTAATCAAAATCTTTACAGCAAGATTTCATTCTGTAAGACTTGTAGCAAGTTGACCATAGTAGATAAAACAATTTAAATATTTATCCAGGGCTTTGTGGTGATCACACACACAAAAATTTAACCAAGGGTCCCACATCATAACATTTTCAGTGCTTTTTGGCATACAAAAACATGGGCAGCAGACACCAAAACAGCCCTTAAGGAACTAATACTTAGCTGGAGCCATGCAATACAAAATTATACTCTCTGTCATCATCATACAAGTGATCTCTTTACAAATTTTTTCTCATTCAAGTTGTACACATTGTTGGGAAATGTAATTAAAAGTGAAATTTTCTCCAACCCAGTAAAACTCTATACCAAATAGGGAAAGGAAAACAATTTCTTACTGAATAAGCTTAAACTAAAATGTGGTACACATCACAGGAAATCGGCTGAAGGATTGCAAAAACAGAAGGAAATCTCACCCCTTTATATAGTCAAGTAGGTATAACCCATTAAATACCTGTTCTTGAGATAAGTAATCACTAGTCCTCAAGTAAGATTTGACAATACCACCTGTCACACACAGTTATCTTACATTCACTTGGTGGTTAGAGTGACCATCTGCATTAGCTAGTCGGCTTTATCAAAAGGAAATATGAATGTCTCATAGGTTTGTAACAGGAGGAAGTTTTGCAACTTGAAATGAGGCATCAGCTAAAGTTAGGCTCCTACCTTTCCACAGAAACTGGGAGATAGGGGTACTATCTTCCTTGATGATTGATTTCGAAGAGATGGATCCTGGGGCCTTGAGAAAGACATTCCTGGGTTGTAATCTTGGAGGAGAGGCTTATTTAACTTTTTAAAAGATTTCCATACATTTCAAAAAGAAGGAAAAAGAATTTAAGGTTACAAATTTTCTAAAGTAATTACTCTATAAAAGGCCAGTGAGTGGCCGGGTGCGGTGGCTCACACCTGTAATCCCAGCACTTTGGGAGGATGAGGTGGGCAGATCACGAGGTCAGGAGGTTGAGACCATCCTGGCTAACACAGTGAAACCCCATCTCTACTAAAAATACAAAAAAAATTAGCCAGGCGTGGTGGCAGGCGCCTGCAGTCCCAGCTACTCGGGAGGCTGAGGCAGGAGAATGGCATGAACCCAGGAGAGGGAGCTTGCAGTGAGCCGAGATCGCATCAATGCTTTCCAGCCTGGGCAACAGAGCTAGACTCCGTCTCAGAAAAAAAAAAAAAAAAAAGGCCAGTGAGTGAGTCTCTTCCCCTTTTTTCAACAGGGGAAATTTTTAATTTGTATTTGCCCACAGGTATATATCCAGTACTGCTGCTGTGACAACCTCAGGGAGAGCCCAGATGAGCTCTCACAAAGGAAGGCAATGCCAAGTTTTCCATTAGGCCAGTGTTCTTGGTGTCTGTCTGTGGTGTGGGTACTCTGAATTCTTCATGCTCTCGAAATACTGTGTCTCAGCAAAGAATTCAGTGTTTTATTTCAGTTTATTCTGTTTTTAAAAAATTCTGCAGATGCAGCTCCTATACTCTAAGAATGCTCTGGCCAGTTTGTTCTAATTTGCAGTTTCTAATCAACTAGCAAGATAACAAGAACTGCTATTACAGCTTTGAAAAGCTTCATCTACTTCAGAGAAGTTTATATCTTGTGAGCATAATGACAAATCTAACATTTACCTACCATATATAATTAAGCATGCATATTATGGATAACACCAGTTTAATATTGAACATACTTTTCATTAATAAAACGCAACAGTACTTACATTCATTATAATGGTAATCTAAAGATCACTAATCAGAACTTTCCACCTGCAAGTGTATGTACATGTGAAGAGGAGCGTATTTGGAACTGATTATATTTGTAGATTACAATAGGAAGAACACAACAGGGTACAAAAAGGTAAGATGATATTGCTAACAAAGTGCAGATTTGAGGGGAGACATCTTTACATTTTAGTCCCAGTTTGACCACAGATTAGCTATAGCATCTTACCTAGGTCATTTACATACCCACACCCCAAATACATACACACACATGTTCCATGAGGGTTGGTTTCTTTTTTTGTCAAAGGAAAAAAAACCACTCTACGTGTTTGATAAGGTTACTAAAAGATAAAATAAACTCAAAATTACAACATTGTTTAGGAAAAAAATAAAAGTACTACACAGTGTAATTATTTGCTAACATTATGTAATGAATTATTATGAACAAGTGCTCAATTCTAGAGGATTTCACAGCTAGTATTTAGCTGGAATTTGGTAAAAGGAATGATCAGGACAGGCACAAAAATGGGTACCGAGTACCACATATATTGATAAGACTGAAATATTGAGCGACGGCATTATGATTTAGGTGACTCTAGTTGAACACTGGAAGATACTTTGCCTCCAGGTAGATAGAGAATAGAAGAAAAAGAAGTTCCCCAAGTGGTAAGACAGCAAGTGCTAAAGAGGGCATCATTTATGTGGTTCATAGAGAAAGGAACTTAAGGACCAGCCACCATTGAGTATCACCCAAGTCTCAAAAATGCAAATGATCTGGGAACAAGTAGCCCTTGACAGGACATGAATTCAGTGATCTGGGTGACTAGATTACAGCTCCAAGCCTGAGTATCCAGAGGCCTAGTTGTCTAAACTCCAGTAGCAGAAATAAAACTTAAAGAACAGAAGGCCAACATGGGCCTTCAAGTAATAAAACAGGGAATTCGAAACTACTGACCAGAAGTCAGGACTGTGTATCATGTCATATTCCTAAATCCATGTTACTTTTGTGTGTTTTTCTTGCCTCCTTGCAAGGATCATTAGTAACTCATTTAAAAGAAAATAGTATCTTTGGAGAAGCAAGAAAGAGGCCCTATGATGACTAAGTCTGTCTGCAGTCAGGCTTGCAGAAGAGAAGCCCAAGGAAGACAGGAGGGGAGGGGAGCAAAGATGATTGTTGAGGGTTTGTGACAAAGATTTAAAAAGGAAAAGCATAGAAGCCATCCCAGAACTGAGAAATGGCCAAGGAAGCTTAGTAGTGGAGGGCCTTGGTGATATCTGTGCTAGTAGAGAGTGGAAGAGTATCAATGAATTAAGCATGGGAGCTATGTGTAAACATCACCCTCCTTTAATGATTCCTAGACCCACATTCTATCTGGAGAGAAGCTAATACATACACTTATTAAACTCATTGTGAGCCAGTACCTGGTCTTCTATATTCATTACCACTCTTCTTTACAACAACCCTAAAAAGCAGTTATTATCCCTAATTTACAGATGAGGGCAATCGGGGGACCAAAGATTCAAAGTAACTAATGCAGTATAAATGTATATCCTATGCCTGGTACTTTTTCCAATGCTTTACTTTCACAACTCATTTCTTGCTCACAATGAGCCTGTGAAGGAGGTTTTATTATTATTCTCATTGTTTATATAAGGAAACTGAGGCACAAAGTTCTTAAGTCAAAGCTGGTATTCCAAACAAGATATGCCTGCATCCCTTTTCCCATATGATACTTACACTAAAAGAAAACAAATTAATGCTAATCATCATGAATAAAAGTTCCTAATTCTAGAAACTAGAACATAATTGATAAGTTCTACCTATAAGAAAACTTGCAAATGCCCTCTGTACTCTATGTGTCTATCCTTCTCTCCCATGATGTTGCCCCTAGCCCCCAGGCTCCCACCCACATGTCCATTCACATAAACCCAGTGCACCAGGGCTGAGACTTGTTCCCCTCTCACAATGTGTCATTATCATGGTTGTCATGAAAGTTGATAAGTTTTCACTGAATCCTGATTAAAGTTCCACTCTTATCCTCATTGTGCAATCTTCAGTTTTTGACAGGAACCAAAAATGGTCCATAATGAATCTGTTCAAATGACAAAGATTATAATGGAAATAGACAATGGCACAAAATTAATTTGTTCCTGTAACAGACACAATGACAGCAACAAAGCTGGATGCAGAGCTATTTGGTTCTCACTGAAGAAACTACAGTCATCCCCCATTCATGGGGCATATGTTCCAAAACCCCCAGTGGTTGCCTGAAACTGCCAATTGTTCTAAACCCTATGAATGCTATGTATTTTTCAATAAGTCCTACCTTGTTTCACTGTTGTTTATGCTATTGCACTTCACAGATAATGCAATTTTTAAAAATTGAAGTTTTGTGGTAACTCTGCATCCAGCAAGTCTATTGGCACCATTTTTCCAACAGCATGTATTCACTTCATATCTCTGTCTCACATTTTGTAAATACTTGTAATATTTCTAATTTTTCATCATTATTGTATCTGTCATGGTACTCTGTGATCAGTGATCTTTGATGTTGCAATTTTGGGGGGCACCATAAGCCACTCACATATAAGATTATGACATTTATTGATAAATACTGTGTGTGTTCTGACTGTTCCATCAATCAGCTCTTTCCCAGTCTCTCTCCCTCTCTTCAGGCCTCCCTTAATTCCTGAAACACAAAATATTGAAATTAGGCCAATTATTAACCCACAACGGCCTCTAAGTGTTCAAATGAAAGGAAAAGTTATACATCTCTCACTTTAAATCAAAAGCTAAAACTAATGAAGCTTAGTGAGGAAGGCATGTTGAAAGCTGAGATAAGCTGAAGGCTAGGCCTCCTGTGCCAAATGGTAACCAAGTTGTGAATGCAAAGAAAATGTTCTTGAAAGAAATTAAAAGTGCTACTCCAGTGAATACATGAATGATAAGACAGTGAAACAGCCTTATTGCTCAGATGGAGAAAGTTCTAGTAATCTGGATAGAAGATCAAAAAAGCCACAACATTCCCTTCAGCAAAATCCTAGTCCAGAGCAAGGCCCTAACTCTCTTCAGTTCTATGAGAGCTGAAAGAGGTGAGGAAGCTGTAGAAGAAAAGTGTGATGCTAGCAGAAGTTGTTTCATGAAGTCAAAGGAAAGAAGTCATCTTTGTAACATAAAAGTGTCAGATGAAACAGCAAGTGTTGATGTAGAAGCTGCAGCAAATTGTGCAGAAGATCTAGCTAAGATCATTAATGAAGGTGGATACACTAAACAACAGATTTTGTTTGTTTTCTTATTTTAAGTTCCAGAGTATATGTCAGAAAGTGCGGGTTTGTTACATAAGTAAACGTATGCCATGGTGGTTTGCTGCACCTATCAACTCAACACCTAGGTATTAAGTCCTGCATGCATTAGCTATTTTTCCTGATGCTCTCCCTTCCCCCACCCCCCGACAGGCCCTGGTGTGTGTTGTTCCCCTCCCTGTGTCCATGTGTTCTCATTGTTCAGCTCCCACTTATGAGTGAGAACATGTGGTGTTTGGTTTCCCGTTCCTGTGTTAGTTTTCTGAGGACGATGGTTTCCAGCTTCATCCATATCCCTGAAAAGGACATGATCTCGTTCCTTTTTATGGCTGCATAGTATTCTATGGTGTATATGTACCACATTTGCTTTCTCCAGTCTATCTTTGATGGGCATTTGGGTTGATTCCATGTCTTTGCTATTGTGAATAGTGCTGCAGTAAACACACGTGTGCATGTATCTTCATAACAGAATGATTTATATTCCCTTGGGTATATACCCAGTAATGGGGTTGTTGGGTCAAATGGTATTTCTCATTCTAGATCCTTGAGGAATCACCACACTGTCTTCCACAATGGTTAGAACTAATTTACATTCCCACCAACAGTGTAAAAGTGTTTCTATTTCTCCACAGCCTTGCCAGCATCTGTTGTTTCTTGACTTTTTAAAAATCACCATTCTGACTGGCATGAGATGGTATCTCATTGTGGTTCTGATTTGCATTTCTCTAATGATCAGTGACGTTGAACTTTTTTTCATGTTTGTTGGCTTCATAAATGTCTTCTTTTGAGAAGTATCTGTTCATGTCCTTTGCCCAGTTTTTGATGGGGTTGTTTTCTTTTTATCTTGTAAATTTGTTTACGTTTCTTATAAATTCTGGATAGTAGACCTTTGTCAGATGGGCAGATTGTAAAAATTTTCTCCCATTCTGTAGGTTTCCTGTTCACATTGATGATAGTTTCTTTTCCTGTGCAGAAGCTTTTTCATTTAATTAGATCCCATTTGTCAATTTTTGCTTTTGTTGCAGTTGCTTTTGTCAATTTCATCATAAAATCTTTGCCCATGCCTATGTCCTGAATGGTATTGCCTAGAGTTTCTTCTAGGATTTTATGGTTTTGGGTTTTACATTTAAGTTTTTAATCTAGCTTGAGTTAATTTTTGTATAAGGTGTAAGGAAGGTGTCCAGTTTCTGTTTTCTGCATATGGCTAGCCAGGTTTTCCCAGCACTATTTATTAAACAAGAAATCCTTTCCCCTTCCTTGTTTTTGTCAGGTTTGTCAAAGATCAGATGGTTGTAGATGTGTGGCCTTATTTCTGAGATCTCTATTCTGTTCCTTTGGTCTGCTTGTCTGTTCTGATACCAGTACCATGCTGTTTTGGTTACTGTAGCTTTGTAGTATAGTTTGAAGTCAGGTAGTGTGATGCCTCCAGCTTTGTTCTTTTTGCTTAGGATTTTCTTGGCTACATGGGCTCTGCTTTGGTTCCATATGAATTTTAAAGTAGTTTTTTTTTCTAATTTTGTGAAGAATGCCAATGGTAGTTTAGTGAGAATAGCATTAAACCTAAAAATTACTTTGAGCAATATGGCCATTTTCACAACATTGATTCTTCCTATCCATGAGGATGAAATGTTTTTCCATTTGTTTGTGTCCTTTCTGATTTCCTTGAGCAGTGGTTTGTAGTTCTCCTTGAAGACGTCTTTCACATCCCCTGTTAGCTGTGTGCCTAGGTATTTTATTCTCTTTGTAGCAATTGTGAACGGAAGTTCATTCATGATTTGGCTCTCTCCTTGTCTATTATTGGTGTATGGGAATGCTTGTGATTTTTACTCATCGATTTTGTATCTTAAGGAGCTTTTGGGCTGAGACAATGGGGTTTTCCAGATACAGGATTATGTTGTCTGCAAACAGAGACAATGTGACTTCCTCTCTTCCCATTTGAGTACCCTTTATTTCTGTCCCTTACCTGACTGCCGTGGCCAGAACTTTCAATGCTATGTTGAAGAGGAGTGGTGAGAGAGGGCACCCTTGTCTTGCACCGGTTTTTCAAAGGGAATACTTCTAGTTTCTGCCCATTCAGTATGATATTGGTTGTCCGTTTGTCATAACTGGCTCTTATTATTTTGAGATATGTTCTCTCAATACCTAGTTTATTGAGAGCTTTTAACATGAAGGGATGTTAAATTTTATCAAAGGTCTTTTCTGCATCTATTGAGATAATTATGTGGTCTTTGTCATTAGTTCTGTTTATGTGATGGATTATGTTTATTGATTTGTGTATGTTGAACCAGCCTTGCATCCCAGGGATGCAGCTGATGTAATTGTTGTGGATAAGCTTTTTGATGCACTGCTGGATTCGATTTGCCATTATCTTATTGATTTTCACATCAATATTAATCAGGGATATTGGCATGAAGTTTTCTTTTTTTGCTTTAACAAAAGACTTTTAATGGAAATGAAGCACTTCTATTGGAAGAAGATGTCATCTAGGACTTTCATAGCTAGAGAGGAGAAGTCAATCCCTGTCTTCAAAGACTCAGAGGATAGGCTAAACTCTCTCATTAGATGTCAATGCAGCTTGTGATTCTAAGTTGAAGCCAGTGCTCATCTACCATTCTGAAAATCCTAAGACCCTTAAGAATTATGCTAAATCCACTCTGTGATCTATAAATAGGGCAACAAAGCCTGAGTGACAGCACATTGCTTACAGCACACATTATTGAATATTTTAAGTCCAATATTGAATCATTACTGCTCATTGGCAATGCACCTAGTCACCTAAGGGCTCTGATGAAGGTGTACAAGGAGATTAATGTTGTTCTCATGCCTGTTAACACAGCATCTATTCTGCAACCCATGGATCAAAGAGTATTTCAACTTGTATGTTTTATTATTTAATAAACACATTTCCTAAGGCTACACCTGCCATAAATAGTGATTCCTCTGATAATCTGGGCAAAGTAAATTGGAAGCCTTCTGGAAAAGATTCACCATTTTAGATGCCATTAAGAACATTTGTGACTCATGGGAAAAGGTCCAAATAGTAATATTAACAGTAGCTTAGAAGATGTTAACTCTAACCCTCATGGGTTATTTTGAGATGATCAAGACTACAGTGGAGGAAGTCACTGCAGATGTGGTAGAAATAGCAAGAGAACTAGAATTAGAAGTGGACCCTGAAGATATGACTGAATTGCTGCAATCTCATGATAAAATTTGAATGAAAGAGGACTTGCTTCTTATGGGTGAGCAAAGAAAGTTCTTCCTTGAGAGGGAATTACTCCTGGTGAAGATGCTGTGAACAGTGTTGAAATGACAACAAAATATTTAAAACTTTACATAACCTAGTTGCTAAAGCAGTGGCAGAGTTTGAAAGGATTGACTCCAATTTTGAAACAAGTTTTTCTGTGGATAAAATGCTATTAACAGCACTACATGCTACAGATAAATCTTTTGTGAAAGGAAGTTTTCGGTGGCAAAATTCATTGTTGTCTTATTTTCAGAAATTGCCACAGCCATATCATCCTTCAGCAAACACCACCCTGGTCAGGCAGCAGCCATCAAGATGGAGGAAAGGCCCTCCAGCAGCCAAAAGATAGGACTTGTTGAAGGCTCAGATGATGGTTAGTATTTTTAGCAAAAATGTCTTCTAATTAAAGTACCCCCTTTTAAAACGTAATGCTACTGCACACTTAATATATTAAAGTATATTGCAAACATAACTTTTACATGCATTGGGAAACCAAAGAAAAATCTGTGAGTGGTTTTATTGCAATACTCATTTTATTGCAGTGGTTAGGAACAGAACCGGCAATATCTGCAAGGTATGCTTGCACATACATACCTATGATACAGTTTAATTAATAAATTAGGTATAGGAAGAGATTAACAACAATAATAAAATGAACATTATAACAATATACTGTAATAAAAGTTATGTGAATATGGTCTTTCTCTCTCTCAAAATATCTTATTGTACTGCACAGTACCCATGCTTCTTCTTGAGATAATATGAGATGATAAAATGCCTACGTGATGAGATGAAATGATGTGAACGATGCAAACATCGTGACATAGCATTGGGCTACAACTGACCTTCTGATGGCACATCAGGAGGAGGAGCATCTCCTTCAGGTGATCTTGGATCCTGGAGTCATGACAATGTCGACGACTGGATGTCAGGAGCAGTGTCGATGACTAATGAATGGATAGCATCTATAGCATGGAGATGCTAGACAAGGGGATGACTCAAGTCCTCAGTGGGACAGAGTAGGATGGGGAGAGATTTCATCTCACTACTCAAAATGGCTTGCAATTTAAAACTCATGAATTGTTTATTTTTGGAATTTTCTATTTAATACTTTCTGACTGCAATTGATGGCAGGTAACTGAAACCTCAGAAAGTGAAACCGCAGGTAAGAGGGAGACTACAGCAAACACAGGTGTTTTGGAAAAGAGAGGTCTACTCTTACAGTGACACAATCTCCTTCCCTTATCCAATAAATCCTGGGGATAAAGGTGGAACCATCAACAGAGTCCAATGTGAAAGATGACAAATATACAACAAAAGTTTGGATACATTTACACAGCGAATGAAAGAAGTTGGACTCTTATTTGACCTGCCTCTTAAGAGAGTTATTCTGAATGTTCATTTGCTGTCACAGGTTTACATAAACCAAGTCTTATCTTCTAAGAATAAGAACACATCTCCTGGGCACAGTGGCTCACGCCTGTAATCCCAACACTTTCGGAGGCCAAGGCAGGTGCATCACAAGGTTAGGAGTTCAAGACCAGCCTGGCCAAGATGATGAAATGCCATCTTTACTAAAAATACAAAAAAATTAGCTGAGTGTGGTGGTGGGCCCCTGCAATCCCAGCTACTTGGGAGGCTGAGGCAGAGAATGATTTGAACCCAGAAGGGAGAGGTTGCAGTGAACCGAGATCGTGCCACTACACTCCAGCTGGGACACAGAGCAAGGCTCCGTCTCAAAAAAAAAGAACACATCACTCTTTCAAATAAAGACCATATTCCTGGTAACTTCCTCATCCTAGGCTTATTAGAGCAATTGTTTTATCCTAGATGAGACAGCATTTTAATAATGATTGAATTAATTTTACATAGAATGGGCAGGTATTGTTCCAAAAGGAAAGGAGAAAGCAAATTTCAGTTTCCAAATGTTGACACAAAGGACAGTCTTGTCTTCCATTTAATTAAACTTTTAAACAGATACTTAAAATATTCTGACCAGCAAATCCAGCATCTTTGCATTCTGCTATCAGCTGGTATATTTTCACAGTTGCCCTGCCTAAGCTTTGATTCAGGCTGAAGATTTCTAGTGTTCTGTTTTCTTGTAATTTAATGTTTGCTTTTCTAACTACATTGTCTTCTTCAGCATCCTGTTATTTGCTGAGCTCTTAAACCTACTTTGTCTTAAATTAACCCCCAACCATCTGAGAAAATATAGCATGTTCTTAAAATGCAAAGCCACAGTAAAGAGTACTGCAGTACTGATGCTAGGCAGGTGGCTGGGAAAGCCAGCAATGACAAAGAATAGGAAAACCAATTTGGACAAAAGTAAGAGAAAGCAACACCTGAGTCCTTTACCTAATCATCAGACTCACTGCAACAGCTCCCTAGGGGCTGTTTACTCTGTTCTGTCAGTTCCCTTGTTCTTTTCTGAAACATCCTGACTTTCTTCTGAGGTTTACAACCAACTTACAATGTCAGTAGTGTCCCCATCTTACACATGAGAAATCAGGCTCAGGAAAGCAGCTTTCCCAAGGTCATACAGTCAGTGAGGGGAATGATCTAGGGTTTCAGCCCAGGATAGATGACCCTAAAGATGCAGGTCTGTTTTACTAGACCACACCCTAAAGATGCAGGTCTGTTTTACTCTACCAAACTGTCTCCCAAATTAAAATGAAAAATCTAATATTTCTTCAAGTGATGGAAGATGTTCAACTCCATGATCAAGATGTTTTGTGGCAAAAGGTAACTTTTGGTACTAAACCAGCAAGAATGAAAGCCCCAGCTAAATCAATCAATCTGGGTTATCTCATTCTGTCTGTGCTAGTGCCTTGTCTTTGAGATAAATACAGATAAATAAATATATGGATTCAGATATAGATACGGATATACAGATAGAGCCATACAATGTATTAGAGAATATCAAATTTCAGCTCTTTTTTTTCCTTTTAAGCAGTCTTTAGTAACTTATCTTTGATATAATGGATAAAAGCAGAAATGACATATTTGTCAATATCTTGTAAAAGAATTATGAGGAAAACACACAGCTTCTTTTTTTACAAAGAAGTGAAGTATGGGCAGTAATCTCCTGTCCCTCTGAACCCAGGCAATTAATGTTTCATGGACTTTTACCTGACTGATTCTAAGCAAAGCAATTCCTATAACTCTAGAATTACTTTGCAAAATCACTCCCTGTGACCTCAGCGCTATTCTCAGTCACCCACAGATTCTGCCTCCAATATCTCTCCTTTTGACTCTTCACATCACAAAGCCTTGAAATTGTTTTAATGTTCAGCTGTCACTGTGACTTTTGAAACCAACTTATCTCCTTTGTATAAATGAAGGTCAAATGTATCTGAAATAGACAAGACGATGATAGTGTGTAGCTTCAAACTATATGTATTGTGTGATGAGAAGTAAAGCTTTGATTTTTAAGTGGGCAAGGAATGGAGAGTTTTCACACTATGAATGAAGCAACACCTATTTAGACTTTATTTCTATTAAAAAAAACTAAGATATCTTCTGTAGCCCACACATTAGTGTGTGTGTAATAGTCAAGCAAGTTACCAAGCTGCTGTCACAGAAGTGGCATGCCAGAGTGGGCTCAAGAAGTAATCAGGGAGTGATGGTATGTGTTTAGTAATAATAAGAAAAACTGTGTTAGTCCCTAGGTTTCTTTTCACTGGCCAAAAGCCAAGACAGTCTGTTATGATATAATCCTCTTTCTTTACCTTCTTCTCTCTACTCACCTTTTGCCCTTACAGTCCCAGACCTTCCAAAGCAGCTGTAGCAAGAAGGCTCAATGAATTACAGGATGGTTGTACCCTTTGAGGTCCAATATCACATAGGATGGGAAAAGAAGCAAGTAGGGCTAGTTAATAAAGAAGTCATACTTTTAAAATTCAAACTTCGAATAATTACACAAAGAACCATCTGCAACCAGATTAACTACCCTATTAGAAAGAAAATGATCAAGTCCAGTGAGAATTGTCACTAACCAACAGTAAGATGCAAAACGGGGACAAAGAAAAGGACTCCTAGAATCAGCCTGATAAAAGAAAAGGATTTAAATTGGAAGTAGGACAAGGAGTTTCTCCTCAGCTACAGCTGTCAGAGGACTTCATCAGAACACAGCAGTTCAATGCAAAATCACATTTGTGGTCACGGAGTAATTATACAGGTGTTTCTATTTGTTCTTAAGCTAACTTTAAACAGTAAATTCTATAATACAGTAACGTTAAGAAGAGTTTGGGCAAGCATGAGAATCCTCCCCTGGGGTGAGGTCAACCTTAACCCTAGTATCTTCTCCACAAGGATATAGCTACTTCTGAGTTTCACTGAGTCACATCCTCCTGCTAAATTGTAAATACAAATTCCCCACACCCACTAAAACCCTTACAACTATTATCTCTACCTCTAATTGCCAATCCTTTTCCTAAGAAACCAGAGAATAAGATGGAAGTAAACAAAAACAAGGAATTCTGATTAGACTTGGATCAAATAAAACCCCAATGAATATTCTTAAGAAAAGTGACAAGAGGCCGGGTGTGGTGGCTCACACCTGTAATTCCAACACTTTGGGAGGCCAAGGTGGGGGGATCACCTGAGGTCAGGAGTTTGAGACCAACCTGTTCAACACGGTGAAACCCCATCTCTCCTAAAAAAATACAAAAATTAGCCAGGTGTGGTGGCATGTACCTGTAATCCCAGCTACTCAGGAGGCTGAGGCAGGAGAATGGCTTGAACCCAGGAGTCGGAGTTTGCAGTGAGACAAGATTGCGCCACTGCGCTCCAGCCTAGGCGACAAGAGCAAGACTCCCTCTCAGAAAAAAAAAAAAAAGAAAAGAAAAAGAAAGAAAGGTGACCAAATAAACCCAATTTATATTGACAAGCAAACTCCTGCTGTCCAGAGTGGATAGACAAGGTCACCAGTAACTCTGTAAGCCAGTGCCTTAATACAAATCTGTTCTACTTGGAGTGTGTCACTCTAGAATCTAGCTCAATATCTAGAATTCAAAAGATTCTCCATTAGTATTTGTTGTATAAATTAAAAAATAGCTAATTTTATCTTTCTGACCTCAATTCTCTGAAAAATGTTGAGCAGCTAGGGGTTTTGTAACATTTTATTTAGTAATTAGCCATATTTTTTTAAAGCCTTTCTACTGAATCCCAATAGATTAAAAAAGTGGAGGCTGCAAGGAATAAAAAGACTGAGAACTCACTCCCTAAGCCATGTCTTGCTCTTAGGGCACATCCAAAGAACACTAGGATTCCAGGGACAATGATCTTATAGGTCCCCCTTCTTGGTTCTCACATTCCATGTTTCTGTGACATCCACTACAAGACAGAATGCTAACCTGGTGCCTAGAAAAAAATCCCCTTACCTTATGCAGGAAAAATATACTTTGACTCGGAGCATGGGAATATAAAGGTATTCTTCAACCTGATACTCTGCTCACTCACTCCCACCTGACTTCTTTGGCCTATAAGACAAATACCTGTCCAGTATCAGCCTTATGATAAATTCAGCAAAGCTGCAATATCATCAGTTGGATTCCTGTGGGTGTGTAATTGCTCAAAGGTGATTTAGGGTCCAAGATATTGATAATGGTTGCAATCGAACTTTCATTTCAGATGAAGATTCCAACATGCAGCCAAAGCTAAGCTCAAAGAGTAAAATTACCTTATTAAGAAAACGTCCACTATGGGAGGCCAAGGTGGGCAGATCACGAGGTCAGGAGATCAAGACCATCCTGGCTAATACGGTGACAACCCATCTCTACTAAAAATACAAAAAAAAAAAAAAAAAAAAAAATTAGCCAGGCCTAGTGGCAGGTGCTTGTAGTTCCAGCTACTCAGGAGGCTGAGGCAGGAGAATGACATGAACCCAGGAGGCAGAGCTTATAGTAAGCAGAGATCGTGCCACTGCACTCCAGCCTGCACGACAGAGCAAGACTCCATCCCCCACGCCTGCCCCCCGCCCCCCAAAAAAAGAAAAGAAAAGGTCAAAGCAGAGAACTTGGAGCTAAGATATGCATGTAGTATGGCTGAGGGTAGAGGCTGGGGGGAGAGAGAAACGTGAAATGTATGAGTAGAGGAAAAGAATAAGCCCTTCTTCATTTGGAGACTGGGATCTGATTTCTAGAAAAGATGTAGATGCATGAGATTCTAAGACTCAGCAAAATCCCTATTGTTTGTATCTGAATAATATTATTAATAATAGTTAACAATTATTGACCCCTTGCTAAGTGCTAAGCACAGTCTTGAGAGCCTAATTCTATTATCACAGCAACCATATGAGCTCAGCACATTTTGTTACCTCCATTTTCTGAAGAAAAAGTAAGCTCAGGCTAGTTAAGAAATAAGCTCGAGGTCATGCAGCTAATTAGTAGCAAAATCAGTATTCAAACTCAGGCCTGTCTAACGTCCGTGCTCACTCACACAACTCCTCCACCCTGGTTCTCTCTGGAATCCAATTTGGGTAACAAAGATGACCTGCAGAATGTTAGTGTCTCTGTTCCTGACACCAATCCCCCTGAAATCAGGTAACTCTGCCTCTTTTTGCCTCCGATCTTCTGTCAGAAACAGGTACAACAGCTTCTCAAAAGCCTGGAAAGTCAATTCATGTTCTATGTTCTCTCATTAATTTTCTACTTTCTTAGTTTTGTCAAGCAGAGAACCACCCAGGATTTTCTATTAATAAGGATTTAAAATGTTGTAAATGCTATACCACTTAGATGCTCATTCAGAAAATAAAAAATATCAATGCAGCATAAATGTAGCACAGAACAGGATAGGAAAAAATGAAACTTGGGTTGAACTCTTAGCTCTGACATGTATGCTGGACATCTTGGGAAAATTACCTTAATACTTTAAAACTCAGTCTTTTTATCTCAATAGAGGGACAGTATTGCTAGCCTGTGTACATTAGGATAGTCAAATAAGATCAAGTGAGCCTGTGTCTAAGGTATAGTGAATACCAATGAATAAGACCATCATTCTTAAAGCTGGTAGTTCATTGACACTAGCATTCAGACCTAAAAATAGCTTACTTCAGTTCAACACTCAGATTTGTTACTCTCTGAAAGGGAACAACTTTATTAACCTCCCCATCCCTTGGTTTCTGAACTATAAAATAGGCATAATAGCAGCAATACCACATAGGGTTGTCGGGATGATTAAATGCAGTAATACAATTACTATCACTAAATAATAATTATAATAACGTGTTGAGGGCATACTATTTTTAAGACATTAGGCTTACTTTTAGGTATAATTTGTGTGCATATATATATATATATATATACTATAAATATATGGTAAATACTTTTAATTATTTTTAGCATTATCATTGTTTACTCTTATGGATTTCTGTCTTAGAAATCAATCATTTCAAAACCCAAACTTAAGAGAAATTTACTGTAGGGGTACAGAGGCATCTTATAGAAGGGAAGGAAGTATATCTAAGACACACAAAAAAAACACTATCTGAAAAGCTGTCAGATACCAAAGTTTCTTTCTCTTTTCTCTCCTCCACCCCTCTATAGCCTTCTGGTTTCTCCTCCTTGGTGTGTGTCTACTTCGTTTATCTCTGTCTTTGCAGACTCATTATTCTTAGCCACATCACTGGCACAGATCAACACAAAACGTTATCTCAGTCCAAGGGTCTCTATAGGCATACTGGTTCAACTCCCACAGCTACTTACTCAGTTGCTGTGTGCTCTAATTCCACATTCAAAGAGAGGAAGATTGTCTTATTGGCTCATCTTTGAGCAGGCATGCACATCTGGTTCAATCAACTCTGACAAGAAGGATGATATCACATGGGACCCTGGGCTACATTCCAGGGCAGCAAAAGGTCAGTGTCTCTTACCAGAGGGCAACAAGGGTGACAGGGCTCAGACCATTAAAGAAAGGTTACGGGAGGCACTTAATCCAATCTGAGGCCACTCAGCACTAACTTCTATGCTCTGGATGGAGCCTCCAAGGCATGCTTTCCAAAAAACCTCCTTAGGCAGGACTGAAACCTAAAAGGGCATAATCCCAAGGCTTCTTGAAATGACCATGAGGATTCTAACAATAAACACAACAGAAGAAAGATGAAAATAAAATACAATCTGATGTCATCTGAGCTCTGAACCAAACCAAGACTGACAGCAAAGCTACCCTAAACTTTTCAATGTTGTAAACCAATAAATACTGAAAGTGGTTTAAATTGTATATTCTCTAAACCCAGGAAGAGCCCAGATTAATAGAGCTGAATTCAGTCAGATGAACAGTGACTTTTCAATTGTGCAAAATTTATGAAAAGAAAACATGATCCAATGATGATTTTTCTTTAGCCAGTTTTGACATACAGACTGTGTCTCTGCCACTCACCTGCTGGAGGAAACTCTGGAGTAAATGCGTACGATAAATGAAGACAGATTCTATGTATGTGTTTGGTCTGAGGCATACAGATGTTAAGAAAATCCTAATGCTACAATGTACAGAGCTGAAAAGGACAGGTTAGCAAAAGTTTATAAGGGTCTGATGTCTCAGAAGAGAATTATGCAAGTTAAGGCTACCATGAAGAGACTCATAGATTGAATCCAACAGTAAGCAAAGAATATATACTAGGTTTTCCAGGTAAAACAACCAACTGAACTCAAGCAATAATCTCTGCTCACTCCTGAAATCTCATTAAAACAACAATAAAAAGATATTTAAGAGACATAAACCTACAAGAACACATAAAATGAAAGAAGAGACAACAGTAATACAATTTCATAATGCAGAAGCTGAAAAGCCAATGGGTGATAGAAAACTGATTTAGCCCATAGTGGGGATTTAGCCCACAGTAGGAAAACAAGAAAGGTATTTTGTACCTCAGAATCCTCCACAAAGGCTCAGAAATTAGCAGCACTAGGATCCTTGGACATGGGGATTAAAATGGAGTTAACAAAAGGAAGATTTGGTTGAAAATATGTTTAAACATCAATTATATCCAAAGATCTCCTCTCTTATCTCAACACAAAATTAAGGTTTATTCTCTGAAAATATTAAATTGTCTGGTGTCTGGGCTCAGAGTCCTTAGGTGTGGTAAAGTCAGGACTACCACAGTGAAATGGGAGTATGAAAGAGTAAAAGCATTCATACTGAATTTCGTGACCCCAGCTTTTTTTCTGCATCTGCCTCTTCTATAATTCTGGAAGCCAGCCATATCCCCACTAAACAGAAGACTAGAATATCATTTGCTGAGGAATGTGTCCAGCCCAAAAGAAAAGAACTAGAAATATGGAAATAGGAAGTTACTCCAAAAAATATTTCAAATAGCCCTATATTGAAATCCAGATTTGACAAACCTTACTTATACATATAGAGCTGTCTAATCAATTTCTCAATGTCCTACTTAAAAAAATTGTTTCAGAGACAGGGTCTCTCTTTGTTGCTCAGGTGGAAGTGCAGTGATTCCATCATAGTTCACTATAACCTCAAACTTCTGGGCTCAAATGATCCTCCCACCTCAGCTTCCCAAAGTACTGGGACTCCACCTGTGAGCCACCGTGCCCTGCTATGTCCTACTCTTCAATATGAGCAGACAGTGGATGATCACTGACTTAATGGAATGACCCTAAAATAACCAATCGAAACAGACAGGAGGAAAAGAAAAAGCACTTTAAAGAAGACTAAGTAATGAGGGAAGTGGGGACCAGACAAACTACTAAACAAAACCCTAGCGTTTAAATCATGAGTCTATAAGAGCAGTTATCGCATTGATAAATCAAGAAATGGGTGGTATAAAATGCAAGAACATTTAAAAATGAAGTCTTTTGAAATAAAAATAATATAGCTGAATTGCAAACAACTCAATGGAATAATTGGAAAATAAAAAGGAAGCAAGAAGACAAGGAAATGGAAAATAGGAGAAAAATATGTTAAAAACTAGAGAACCCATTCAGTAAGTTCAATTGCAGAATAATAGATGTTCCAGAAAGAAGCAAAAAGAGAAAGATATGGATTATCAAATAAAATTTCCCAGAACTGGGGACACTAAATTTACAGAATAAATGGCCTATTATGTGACCAACATAGTAAATGAAAATATACCCATTCTAAGACATAGTATCATCAAGTTTCAGAATGCTGGGAATAAAGAAAACATCCTGACATCTTCCAGAGAAAGCTTTCCTATGAAGAGTCAATAATTAGAATAACATTGGACTTCCCAACAGAAACATTGGGAGCTAAAAGAAAGAATGAAGTAATTCTTCAAACTTAAGAAAAAATAATTTCCAACTTAGAACTACATATCTAGCCATATTATCAACTAAGTGTGGATATTATGAGGATATTTCTTGACATGCACATTGTCAAAAATGTGCTTTCTGTGCTCCATTCTTCAGGAAATTACTGGAGGCCACACTTCGCCAAACCGAGAAAGTAAACCAGCAAAAGGAATATGTGGAATTAATAAAAGAGGGCAGATCCCAGTGTGACAGCTGGGGAGCAGATTGGTCTGAAGGTTTGGGAAAAAATCTTTCCAGAAATAGGACTAAAACTAATTCTCCATGTATTTGAAGATATTCAGAGGAGATTCTCTCAATGGGAGAAGTGTATGGGATGAGTTAACTACATAGTCATAGAAAATGACTGGATTCAACAAGGTAACCAAAAAAGACAATTACTAAGTTCAAGGAAAAAAAATGTTAAGTAGCAAAGGCAAATAAATCATGTATATCTCTCAACTGTAAATTTAATTTACATATTCATAGCATTGTTGTATTAATGTGTTCTCACACTGCTAATAAAGACATACCTGAGATGGCGTAATTTATTTTAAAAAAATAGAGGTTTAATTGACTCAAAGTTCCACATGGCTGGGGAGGCCTCACAATCATGATGGACGGTGAATGAGGAGCAAAGTCACATCTTACGTGGCAGCAGCCAAGACAGCTTGTGCAGGGGAATTCCCATTTATATAACCATCAGATCTCATGAGACTTATTCACTACCATGAGAACAGTATGGGGGAAACTGCTCCCGTGATTCAATTATCTCTACCTGGCCCCACCCTTGACATGTGGGGTTATTACAACTTAAGGTGAGATTTGAGTGGGGACACAGCCAAACCATATCAACTGTAAATACTGAATAGTGATGGTTCAATATAAACACTGAAGAGCACAATTTTGATAGTACATATTGAGGAGGATGCAGAGATAAGAGATGTGCATGTACCTGTGATGTGGCAATGGTCAAAGAGAGTTAAACCCATAGACTATATCTAAAAGTAGAATATCAAGAAATTGCAATAAAACAAGTTATTTAAAGATATGAAAGTGCTAAAAGAATCAGCTAAAATAGTTGAAATTGGTTGCCTCTGGGGAATAGGAAATGAAATGAGGGCTTAAAGGATTATTGTTTTTAATAACAAGAATAGTAAAACTATTTGCCTCTTTAAGCCATGGGCATGTACAATTCTGACTTTTATAAAAATGCAAACAAACATAAAAGCCAAGGGAGACAAAAGAGATCAGAGTTGAACCACGAAGGTTTGTCTTTGTATTCCCAGTTTCTGTCTCATAATGTATACTCATCCGATTTTCATTCAACAATAATTTATTGAGCATTCTTTTTTCCCTCGATGGTAGAGCCAGTGTTTAAGAGCCCAGGCTCTGGAATGAGACTCTCTGATTACATTTGCCTACCAATGTACCAAATCAAGAAAGCATGAACCTAGATGAGTGTCAAGTGACAAAGTCAACACAACTCTCAGGAGGATCTCTAGTCAAGACAACACTAGTACACATGGAGATAAATAGTTAAGAGTTTTATTCAATAAATATTTACTTCACTCCCAATAAGTCTCCCCCTCTTCTTCCCTCCACCTCTTCCTCCTTATCATCACCATCATGGCCAAATAAAGAAAAAAAAAAAAGGATTAAGCAATTACTCTGTGCCCGATACTGTATCAAAAGCTTTACAGAAATAATGCCATTTAATCATCACAATAACCTCATAATAAGAGCTTTATTACCTTCATGTCACAGATGAGGATACTGAGGCATAGAGAAGTTAACCAGTACAATATCACACATCTAGTAGGTAACAAGCTAGCATCCATATCAAGTAATCAGATAGTCATTCCAGAGCCTGGGCTCTTAAACACTGGCTCTACCATCGAGGGAAAAAAGAATGCTCAATAAATTATTGTTGAATGAAAATAGGATGAGTATATATTATGAGACAGACACTGGGAATACAAAGACAAAAAATAAATACAGTCTCTGAAATCAGGAAGGGCGCAGTCTAACAGTTTAAAAGCAGAACTCTGAGGCCAAGTATGTTCAATGTGAAGTTACCTGACAGGTTTTTTTTTAAATCGCTATCACAGATCTCACTGTTAGCCATGCCACATCTGTTTGTAGTCATTGTATTCACAGTTTGTGCCCTGTCAGAGAGGTCATCTATTCTTTCATTTTGTAAGCAGGAACACTGAGACCCACGTGGATTTTATAACTTCCTGAAGAGCAAACAAAGCCAAAACCAACATCAGAATTAAGTCCCTTGACTCCCACTCTGGTGCTCATTTTTACTAAGTCACTAAATACTGAATAGTGACGGTCAGAAAAGCTTAAATAATAAGCTCTTACTAAGAACTAACTTGTTCTTACTAAGTCAGAGGAGCTTAAGTAACAAGTCCCAGTAATTCACATTTACCCACTACCCACAGAGCTGGTAGCATCATTATTAGCCACTAACCATGGAGACTTACTGTAAAAGAACAGGAGAAATGGATTTAAGCAGGTGACAATCCAAGGACATTTTTAAATAAACGATGAAAACCTTTAAAGTAATGGAGGCCATATTTATTCTGCTGCTCAAGCTGATTGTAGGAATCTATAAATATATATTTAATTTCACCCATCTCTACCAAGAACCATAATGCAAACTTTAATCAGCATTTTTCCTAACATTTGAAAGGCAATTATAAAATCATATTAACATTCATCTTACACAACTTCTTTAAAAGGCTCAATTGTTTAGCATGACTGTTAAATCATTAAGCAAGCACACTATGTGATATAAACAGAGCTGGTCTGAATTCACTATTTGCTTATCTAAAACATTTTCCCAGAGTTGGATTAAAGAAATTACCTAATTAGCATACAAGAGCCAGACACAATTCTCTGATTGATCTGTCATCTTGCTAAGAATATGATCTCACTACACTGGTCAAGTCAGTCATCAAATACCTTGAATGAAACCAAATTATCTTTATCAAATATAATTTTTATTTAAACCCTTCAAACATTTTCAGCAGTATAATGACAGAAGTAACAACATATGTGGAAAGAGTCAAAGAAATGACCTTTCACTACAATAAATAGTAGTTAAATTATAGAAATCTATAAATAAAATGCTAGAAGGCATCTTCACTGCAGCCTCTGCCGAAATTTAAGAAAGGATTTCATGTTGCTTTCTCTTTGCCCATTATTATAAATGATCGAGGTTTCTTTCAGGATCTCGTTGGCCTTCCAAAAAGGAAGCTATACCTAAAGACTAGATTCCTGATTCTTCCCAGGCATCCAGGCTAAAATCACTGGAGTCATTTTTATATTTAATCTACCCCCTCTGTCCCTTTGACATTCATGATTGATTTCATTTGTCAAATCTCTTCCTTTCTGTGCTCCACTACCATTTCCTTAGTCCAGGTCTTCATCACTTCTCATTTAGTATAACTTAACCATGTCGTAAATTGTCTTCCTCTAAGCTTGTCTTACCTGAAAATTCATGTGTGATATTAAAGCCACAAATAAGGTCCCAATGCTTCTCTGAAGTCCAAATTTTTAGGCTTGCATTCAGTGCCGTCTCTCATTTGCCCACTTCCACCAAGCTTTCTTCCCACTAAATCCTCTATTTAAATAGAGTGCAAATTATATGGTGATATTTGGTGCTGTTTGTTTCCTACAAAATCTCCAATGCCCAACACAATATCTCAGTACTTAAATATTCAGTAAATATTTGTTGAATGTGGCCTCCTCTCCCCTTAAAGAAGCTACTGCACAATTACACTCTGCTTTGAAAGCTCTGGACTCCAATTATACTGATCAGTATCAGCTATACTGATAAAAAAAAAAAGTAGTGAATTAAGACCAGCTCTGTTTGTGATATCACACAGTGAATTTGCTTAATGATTTAAGAGCCATGCTAAACAATCGAGCCTTCTAAAGAACCCGTGTAAGATGAATGTTAATATAGTCTTATAATTGCCTTTCAAATGTTAGGGAAAATGCTGATTAAAGTTTGCATTATGGTTCTTGGAAGAGATGGATGGAAATTAAATATATATTCATAAATATTTTAATATCATAAACCACATCCCAGCAATCAATTTCAGCAGCAGAATAAATATGGCCTCCATTACATTAAAGGTTTTCATCATTTATTTAAAAATGTTTTTGGAATGTCACCTGCTCAAATCCATTTCTCCTGTAATCTTTAAAAATTCTGCTCAAGCAATGCTTCCTCTGAGAAGTATTGCTGACACCCCTAGTCAATATTACTGTCTCATTTGTTTGCACATAACTTTGCTTATCTTTTTAATACTGTACTTTTTATTATGGTAAAATATATAAAACATAAAATTTCTCATTTTAACCATTTTAAGTGTACAGTTCAGTGGCATTTAAGTGTACAGTTCAGTTCATATTGTACAATCATTACCACCATCCCTTTCCAGGACTTTTTCACCATATCAAACTGAAACTCTATACCCATTAAACAATAACTTCCCATTTATCCCTCTCCCAGCCCTTGCTGCCTACCATTCCTTCTGTCTCTATGAATTTGACCACAATAGGTACCTCATATAATTGAATCATACAATATTTGTCCTTTGTGTCTGGCTTATTTCACTTAGCATAATGTTGTTAAGGTTCATCCATGTTGTAGCACATTAGGTTTCCATATTTTTTCTCCAAGAGTTTTATAGCTTTAGCATTTATATTTAGGTATTTGATTCATTTTGAGTTTATTTTTGTATATAGCATAAGATAAGGGTACAAATTCATTCTTTTGCATGTGGATAACCAGTTTTTTAGTGCCATTTGTTGAAAAGACTGACCTTTCCCCCCATTGAATGATCTTAGCATCCTGTTGAAAATCATTTGACCACATATGTGAGGGTTTATTTCTGGGTTCTTTATTCTATTCAGTTGGTCTATATGTCTCTCTTTGCACCAATTCCACACTACTTTTATTACTGTAGCTTTGTACTAAGTTTGGAAGTCAGGAAGAATGAATCCTCCAAATTTGTTATTTTTTTTCCCAAGATTGTTCTGACTATTCAGGAGTTTCTTGAGATTCCATATGAATTTTAGGATAGATTTTTCTATTTCTGTAAAAATATGTCATTGTAATTTTGATAGGGATGAATCTACATATCTCTTTGGAGGTGAAGAATTGATATCTTAACAATATAAAGTTTTCTAATCTATAAACACAGAATGCCTTTCAATGCATTTGTGTCTTCTTTAAATTCTTTCAGCAGTGTTTATTTGTTTTTGGTGTATAAGCCCTTTCCCTCCTTGGCTAAATTTATTCCTAAATATTTTAAAAACTATTGTAATGAAATTTTATTAATTTCCTTTTCAGACTGTTCATTGTTAGTACATAGAAATGCAACTGATTTTTGTGTGTTGATTTTAAATCCTGAAACTTTGCTGAATTCATTAAGTTTTCTCTGGAATCTTTAGGGTAATACTGTACTTATAATTTATTCTCTCTTATAGTTTTGTTACTGTGTCTTCCTTTCTCTTCCAGGTTTTAAGTTACTTGAGGGTACAAGTCATCTTTCTTTATAGCACCTACCCTACTGTTTTGTGTATAAATGATATGAATAACTTTAATGTATAAGTTAGTATTTATTTTAAAAGAATATCTGCAATGCTGAGTTGTGGCACTATCCTGAGAAGAGACATTCCAGGAACTGACCAGCAGGAGGAGCTACTGCAGGTCCTTTTCTCTTACAAACCCTCTGGTCCCCAGATGACATTATTTAAGCACAGAGGATGGGGAGAAAAAAGGAAAGATTAACATTTATTGAAAATCTCCTCTCTTCCAGATACAATGTTCATTCATACTCACAGTTTTCTGATGAGGCAGGTGTTACTCTAGCAATTTCCCCAATGAGACAGCAGAGTTTTAGAGAACTTGATTGAGATTACACATCTAGGAAGTAGAGAAGCCAGAATTCTACAGAGGAATTATTAGCCAAGGAGAATCTTTGGGAGTTGGAAGAATAGAAGGAGGTAGAGAAGATGGCAAATCAGGACTAGATACATTTCCACGAAGTCTTAGAAGAGAAAAGGCTAGCTAGCTAACCAACCCCCTCTTCAGTCCCCAGCCCCCAACCCCCAAGATTAGAAATGTGTGATTCTGAGTTGGGAACAGGAGACGAATCTGAGATATGTTTAGAGGTTCTGATAGTACAAAATCAATTCCTCTTACTATATTGTGCTGTGCCTAGGCATAAAGTATTTATGAGTGGAGTAAAGTTTGCATCACCCTGTGCATTGAAGCAGGATCTGAGAAACATCCCCCTACATGCTGTGTCAAACTAAGTGGTGAAGAAAAGTTTCTCAAAACTTCTATCATATCAAGAATTTAAGTTACTCTGCACCTATGGAGCCCTGCAAATTATGAGTCAATACATTCAAATCCATGATGTGTCTGACTTTGAGGTCTGTTTTTACTTCATCATACAGACTTAAGACTCATTATTTCCTGTAAATGTTCCCTTCCCATCCATCAAGATATGTTATCCTCAAGACACTTCCAACATGACCAGAATCAACTGTAGTGAATCATGTATTATTGAACCTTGCAAAACTATTTTAGCATTCTCCCAAAAGTATTTCTGTTTTCTCTCTGTCTGCCTACTTTTTCTTGCCCATTTAACAGCAACTTCAAAGAAAAAGTACTAGGTAAAAACATTCATTTTATAGAACCCTGCTACTACTGGTATTTAATAAATAGTAAATAATAAGCCTATAATTGCTAAATGTGGGCAACAGCTGCTACTATGGCTTATAGATCTTCTCTATGAAAAGATTTCATTATATTTGTACAATTCTGGGATGACACTGCTGGTTTTTTGCAGTTATGAAATGAATAATCACAGAAGAAAATTAACTGACAATAACATATTCTGAAGAACACTTGTCTATTGCCTGGTCTTGTTTTTGTCTAGATTCAAAATCACATTTGTGATGTATATACTTTCCTTTTTATTCATTTTCAAGGTCCTGTTTTCCTTCAAACATTTGCTTGGAATGGATACGGGTGTGTGTGTGTGTGTGTGTGTGTGTGTGTATTACATGTATGGACATGCCCCATGTGGAGATGGAGGAAAAAAGGAATGAAATAGTTGATCTGTTTCCTAATATAATCTAAAATACCTGCTGTTTTTGATCTTAAAGGTAAAATGAATTTCAGTAACAGATAAAATGAATTTCAGTAAACATTACATGTCCCATTATATTTGTCAATAACAGGAGTCCCTTACATCCAAAGCCAGACCCTCAACAGTAAGACTTAGGAAAACAAAATTCTATTATAACTTGGGACAAAACCGTTTCAACATCCTGCAAGCTTTGTAAGTTTCATAAGTTTCTCCTTAAACTACTTTCTTATTTTTGATATTTTTTAAGTCCTGACATTTAAAAGATAACTTTGTGCAAGAATTTTACTCATTTTCCTACAAAAGTGATTCTTTCTTGTCATGAAAATTGCCAAGGGAGAATTTACAAAGTAACTTTACATACAAAAAAAGAGTTCTTGATTTTCAGGACAGGAACTGGATTTGTACTGTGTCTTGTCAGTCCTGGAGGTCCCAAAACAACTTCAGAAAGACCGAGCTCTCTATTTTGCCTTTTACATTAATAACAGATTCATTAACTAAATTTGGGTTACAGAAGAAGGAACAGTTGATGAAATAGTAAGAATGTGGCACAATTTTCGAAACCTGGTGGAGGATGTGGCTGTGTCTTTAGAAGGCTCTGCTGAGACTCTGCCCTGGAAATCATGGAACCCTAACAAGGGAGTTTGGCAGAAACTGGTATCTCAGAGACTCCCTGTACTTGTTTCAACAGAGTGGTACTCTCACTTCAAATAACAGAAAAGGACAGCACAGAGGCGCTGAGGCGACTGCCAGGTGTTCTGCAGGACTCTGTTTGAGCTCTTCCTTCCTTTGGATTCTAGCTTCAGAGGGATTCATGCAGTTCCCTGGTGTTAGGGAAACTGTTTCATATCACTAAAGTCGACAGGGGAGCAGGGTAGGGAACGTGAAGACTGTGACAACAGAGGAGGAGGATCACTGGTCTACAGTGGAGCAGTTGACAGAGCTGTGTGCCAGTTCTTAGCTGCCTCAACCTTTATCTCAGAAACCACAAGTCTCAGATTAGACGGTGGTGGATCTCTTCCGGCCTTTGTGATCGCCTCTGGTTTATGGCTGTCTTCTGGTTTGTGTTTCTGGTTCATTCTCCTTGATTGGCAACCATAGACCAAGGATGGTCACTCAAAATTGAAAACAGAAAAAGCACAAAAATAGGATAGCTTAGTTCATTTGTAGATAGTGCTGCTGAGGCTAAAGTTATGGACTGGATTCTCAAATTAGGCCAATCAACAGTATCTTAATGTACAAGGACACCAACATTGTATATCACAGAATCTGGCAAAGAATGAATTGGGGGGAGAGAGAGAAATGAACTAAACGGATTGATTATTGAAAAGTTGACTTTCTTCTTTTGAAAACAGTTATCTGTTAATCTTAGGGGTGGCAGGTGATCTCATTAACTCATACTTGCACCGAATAACAGACTAAAAATCAATACACATGACCAAAAGCGGAAAGAGATGGGACTAGCATAAATGTCAAAAGATTAAAAGTATCTTGTTGTTCACAGTAAAAGAACTTTGGCTGAGCACTTAAAAATGCCCTTGACATCATCAAAGCAAAATGTTCACTCATTGTTTCCATATGTTATTCTGCTCTCCAAGCCTGTTTTGTATTTTTATTTTTCCTTTTTTAACTTTCTAAAATCATGAGGGCTTTTGTCTAAAAAACATGTTCAATTCAGAATAAATCCATGAATCAAGAGAGTGTGAGCCTGTGAGAGATACCATGTCCTGCTTAGGACGGGCTACCCTGCCTCCTGGGGCTCCTGCCCTCGAATTGCGGAATATCCATGGCAATGATGACACACAGCTGATGACCTCATATGGACATGGCCAGATGGTAAAAGATTTACCCGGAGGTTGAATTGGGACAAAGACCCAACAGAACTTTGCTAGCCCCAGCTCTGCCCTCAGCTGGCCAGGTCTTCTCCAGTCTAAATCTCAAAATCCTCATTTTTAAAATGGATAATGGTGGTCTAGGTGGTTTCCACGTTCTATGTATCTATATTGAAGACCTGTAGAACTTGCAAAGCAACATTATTATTGATAATTTCAACCAAATCCTAAGCTATCATTTTTTAAAAAAACAGCATAAAATTCTGGGAAGACAAAGGACAATGCTAAACTGACACTAACCTCTTCTCTTCCAGGATCCCTTCTGTCCAAGAGATTTGAAATCATTGTTCTGACATAAGAAATTCACTGTCAAGAATATATCTGCCTTTGCACTCTGTCTGTCAAATTTAAAAGGTTTTAATGCATTTGTATTGGATTCTCTGCTCCTATGCCCCTTGGTGCAGTTACAATTGGGGTATTGATTGAGGCTTTCTGAAAAATGAAAAGGAGGAAAAGAGACTTTTGTTCTCCCACTCCACAGCCATAAGTCCTGCCTTCACATTCAGCCCCCCTGCTTTTCCTCTGCCCATGGTCCAAGTACACCTAAGGCATTTCCATCAGAGTAGGAAACTCATTTTTTTTCTTGGCCTTAGATTTCTGAAAAATAAAATGTTATTTTCAAAAATGGAGGCAACATATACCCTGATAGGCTCGTTCTGATTCAAGACTGAAAGCATGCCTAACAAATGAAGGGACTTGGTGTGATTTAGTGTAATGCCAGCAGCAGAAACACAACTGTAAATTATCCTTTTCCAACCTGCTCTCTGAGGCTCAAATTGCTGTTTTGCTGTCTGCATCTCTAATGATGGTTGATGCATCCCCTGGGAAGGAAAGTACTGATCTTCTCTATCTTGATTTAGCAGCTGTGATGATTATATATATATGTATATAATATATATATTCTAGCAGTCACCAAAGTCAATGAAGGCAAAAGGGGAGTGAGAAAGAAAAACTTTGTTCAATTTGCCATAAGTGGCAAATAATTTTCATATAAAAACACCTCTTTCAGTCATTATTTAATCTGCTTTGGTTTAAACAATAAAGAATTCTGGCAGTTATGACAGGGTTTTGGGTTTTGTTTTTTGTTTTAAGACCAGAGCAGTTCTATGGTTTTTGTATGAGACTTTGGATAGTGTCTAATTCTTGACCTTTCAAATCACAAATGAGTCACCTAATCTATCAAGGTCACACATCCTGGTAAATAAGCAGAGGTGGGAGTCGAGAAAGTCTTCCAGGGGAAAAGCATATGAGAACTGAAGAATGGGTGGAAATTAATCAGAGAAGGAGAAGCACCTGTTTTACTCTCTTCTTCTACAGAGATGTAGAGATGCTAAATATCATGGATCTTTCATAAATGAAGATACAGGACATTGCTAATCACATCTGTAGGTGAGAAAAGCTTGCAGGAAGAGAAAACATGTTTTACAAAGGAATTTTCCATCAAATGGCTGCCAAATGTTGAGCTAATGAACCAAATCTTATAATAAAATTTAATAGGGATAAATGTATCCTATGTGTGTGTTCAAAAAACATTTTTTAAATACTCTTCTGTAGGATAGGGTAAACATAGATCAACAGTAACACATGTTCTAGGAGGTCATTAATATTACTACATCAATAGATATAGAACTTTCTAAGGTGAGCATCCTGCTTTCCCGTCTCTGCTCTAATCAGATCATTCCTGGAATGACATGTTGTGTTCACTTCCTCATGAGACAATTTAAAGAGCATCCAGAGAAACTGAAACACAATCAAAGAAAAATGTTCTAAACTTGAAATGATAAAATGAAATAAAACATGGTGCTGGTGCTGCAAATACATACACATAGACTGTCTTAGCCAAGCACTTTCCTATTCCATGCCCACTCTATTTCCAGGGGTAGCAAATAGGTTTTAACTTGTTGCATGACAAGTATGGTCCATTGGTTGTAATTTCCTAGAGTGATGTGACCAAGAGTCCTGAGACTATATGCAAACTAGGCCAACAAATCAATTAGCAATGACTGCCACAGCCATGGGGGCAGGAGCAGTGGCCTCTAGCCTAGACATTGGCCATTTCTGCCTGGTGAGCTACATTCTTTGGCCAGTAGAAATCCAATTTTTGGCTTTGGGCTTACCTTCACCTCAGCCAAACAGTGGCCTCTTCACAAGAAGTCTGGTAAATCTTTCTGGAAGGTAGCCAGGCCAAAATGAGACCATAAAGGCACGTTAACAAGTGAGACTGTAGGTGAATATTAAACCCTGTTGATCTCCTTCAGTGCCCTTCAAATGAATTAGAAGAAGCATGTCTGAGCTGGTGCCATATGTAAATTGTCTTTCTGAAGACAGTAAGGACTGAATTCTAATAAGTCTTCCTGGTCCTTGTGAATGTACCCAGTGAAATCCAGCTTTAAAATATAAGGAATGTAACCTTTTTAAAAAGATAGGCAAGAAAAGGTCAGTCCTTTCATAGTCCCTGTGGTACCCCCTTCTTTCAGGCCATTTCTCCTGAGTCTTTGGCGAATAGACATCCACAAAGTCCCAGTGGACTTATCTTGGTGAGGCACTGGAGGGAAACATCATGGAATGGCACTGTGACTGTGGGGTCCTGAAGGAAAGTGAACATTAAGGAGACTTCAGCTGTTGCTTAAAAAAAAAAAAAATCACAATTAGGCCTGTTTGGCATTTTGGAGTGAGTCAGAATACCAGGCTTTGAGTCCTGGTTTCGCCAGATAAGATCCTAAGGTCAAATTATTTAATCCTATTAGAAACTGAAACACAGAGCGATTAATATCACTGTCACTCATACAATAGGGTTGCTTTAGGGATTAAATGATGAATCCCCTTAAATTATTTTTGCTTTGTTTTAAAGTAAGAAATTATAATTGTGAAAAATGTATTTTTTTTTTTTGAGACAGAGTCTCGCTCTGTTGCCAGGTTGCAGTTCAGTGGCACAATCTCAGCTCACTGCAACCTCCACCTCCTGGGTTCAAGTGATTCTCCTGCCTCAGCCTCCCAAATAGCTGGGAGTACAGGCACACTCCACCACACCAAGCTACTTTTTTGTATTTTTAGTAAAGACGGGGTTTCATCATGTTGGCCAGGATGGGCTCGAACTCTTGACCTCGTGATCTGCCCACCTCGGCCTCCCAAAGTGCTGGGATTACAGGCATGAGCCACCCTGCCTGGCCGAAAATGTATTTTTTAAAAAGGAAGATATACAAAGAAAGAGAAGAAGAAATAGATCACTTCTAATCATATGACTTAGAAATCACTGCCATGACCATTTTAGTCCATAACACTTACTAATAACAGTAGAAGCACATAGTACACACACACACACACACACACACACACACACACACACACACATGCATACACACGCACAGGCTATGAGGAATGGGAAGAATTTATTTGGCTCCAGAGTCCTGGGATAAACAGAACCCAAAGTGGCTGAATGGCAAGAAATATCAATAGTGCTTTGTTTGGCCTGAAATTCTACTATGCAAGTAAAAACATTATACATGAATTCATATATTTTATGAGACACTTAAATGCATTTTAAAGCATTTTGAGATAGAGTCTCACTCTGTCACCCAGGCTAGAGTGCAGTTGCATAATCATAGCTCACTGCAGCCTGGAACTCCCGGGCTCAAGAAATCCTCCTGCCTCTGCCTCCCAAAGCACTGGGATTACAGGTATGAGCCAACATCCCTAGCCTTTAAGCACTTTTTAATGTTAGCAAATGCACCATGTAACAGTGAGATGATATTTTTATTGATGATCCCTAGCCCTGATGAGAGGACGCACAGATAGGAGGACATTATTGGACTATTGAAAGAATTGCTATTATGCTACCAGCAATCACAAAAGCTTCTCAAGTGGTATAGGTCCAAATGTATGTTCATTATTACTGGATGGACCTTGGACCCATACTACCAGCTGGTCTTCTATTTAGCTTATCACATGCTGTGTCACATGTTGTATATTCTAGGTAATTTAAGTCACCTTCGAACATCCGCCTCTACTCCAGAGTCACACACTGATTTGGACTTCCTGGATCTTAGTACTCAGAGAGTCAATGCAGTACACAAAATGAAACCAAATAATGTCAGGTATGATCTGAAAAGAATGGGCCTAAGAGACTCATTCCCTATCCCATCCTACTAAAGAAAATAGTAAACGACCCAACTACAGCAGACTCAGGGAAGAGGGAGCCACATTCATATTTTAGATAAAACCCTTTTGTTTCTCCATTTAGAGTTTTTCTCTTGAAACTTTTGTTCAATCATGTGTCCTTGAGAATGCCATTCTACTCCTTTACACACTGGCAGCTTGCTCATCTTTGAATGGCAAGGTATCAGGGTGGGGAGCGGACTGGAAATGATGTCTGAAACTCCCTCTAGAGGTTAATTAGGTGGGCAACATTCTTGTTACCTGATTCTCTATTGCTGCAACCTATTTAAGTCCACAGATAACTTCCTTGAGAGTAGAGTCACATTGTCTGGCTGTCAAATAGGATCAGTTAACCAATGAACTTATAATCATCCACAAGGAGTTACCTAATTAGGAGTAAGAAATTAAGTTCAGTGTTGTTCCTTGGCACTAACCCTGACACTACTTCAAGAATAATAAAGTCTTAAAAATCAAAGACAGGACTGACCATTTAAATTATGTGAGCATTTACTCAACACAACTGGCATTTACCAATAAGTGAGCATTTACCCAGCACAATATCTACACACAATTGCCATCAATTTATGAAAACCTGTTTTAAATGGCAAATTTTAAAATTAGTGAAGTTGGGAGAGTTGTTTCTTACATAGGCATTAGGCACTACAGTCACTACGTTAGACATAAAATCCACATAGGTAACAGTGCTCTTGAAAATCCCATAATTTTGTTCATAAATTATAAGAAATATTTTTGTATATAATCATATGAATTTCTTTCATCATATTTTCTAACTCTCTATGAATATGTTTGTTTGCTTTATTTTTTGTGAACTTCAAAAATGTCAACAACTGGTCACATGAATACTGGTTTTCATGTCTTTAAAAAATCAGATCATTTTTCCATATAATTAACTCTTTTTCATCTGTTAGTCTGCAACATGTGCACATTGAATTGAATGATATACAGGATTGATATACAGGATTGAATGATATACAGGATTGGAACCACCAATCCTGTTTAACTTGGCATTGAATCAATAAAGACTTTTAAATTGAATTGTATGAATTTGAATTTCAATGATAGACTGAAGGGAAAAGATATTTGGGGGTTTAGCCTGCAGACAAGTATGGACTCATCCTCTCATTTAGCACTCTAAAGGAAAATGACAGGAAAGTGATCTGAATAATAACACAAATATTTACTTTTTATTCAGTTTCTACTGTTAGCCAACCACTACATCAGGCCCTCACAAGAGCCTTTCAAGAATAGGTATTAACATCTTCATTTTTAGATTAGTTTATAGAAATTAATTAGTTTTGCTCAAGGCTTTGAAGCAAATAAATTGTAGGCCATAATTTGAGCACAGAAGGGTAAAGTTCATGCTCTTTCCATCTGTCTAAAGAAAATCCGCCCTTTGAAAATGAAATTTGAGTTTCCCATATCTGATAAATAACTCTTATGTTTTCAACAAATGTGGCACTTGTCTCAGAGAGTAAGTCATCATATGATTTATCCCAGAACACGACCCCACTTATAAAGAAGTATTTCTCCTCTTTGTTGGCACTTTCGGGACAGCTGAACTCATTCTGAAAACACTAAATCTGCAGACTTTCCTTGCCCAGAATAATCATTCTTCAGGCTGGGAAGCACTCCTTGGTAAAGATCTAAGCAGTGGTTCTGAGAGTGTGATCACCAGCCAAACAGCATCAGTGGCAACAGGGAACTTATTAGAAATGCAAATTCTAGGGTCCAGCTGCAGACCTGCCAAATCAGAAATTCTGGGGACAGGGCCCAGCAATCTGTTATTTTACAAGCCCTTTATGTGGTTCTGTTCCACAGTCAACTTTGAGAAGAACCTACCACGTTTGTGGCACTCCTACAAGTCTCTGAGATCCTGAGACATCCTTCTGTATGTTCCATGCAAAGAGTATTTATTAGGCTGCTAAATGCAACTGATGGCAAAAGAGCCAAGTCTAAATTTGTTTTGCCTGTTTATTCTTTCCTTAAACAGAGAGCTTTAATTTTATCAAAAGAATGCAAAACAAAGTATCCCTGCTTTACTCTAGGAGGATTGAGGAGATGGATCCAGAGTCGTGGATAACTGTGAACACAGACACAGGTGTACTTATGCACACACATGAACGCCCAGATGCACAAGCATGAAGGGAACTCTGTCTAGGTTCGGGGAAGGCCTGAAAGTTCCAAGAATCCTCATGTAGGGTTGGGAGCCCAAGGGCAGCGCTCAACTTCGGAAATACAGTGATATGTTACTGGAATAAAAACAGAAACATAGACAAATGAGACAGAATAGAAAGCCCAGAAATAAATCTAAATATATATGGTCAACCAATTTTTGGCAAGGGCATCAAGAAGACAGAATAGGCAAAGATAGGCTTTTAAAAATTTAATACTGGAAAAGCTGGCATTACATCCAAAAGAAGGAAATAAGGAAATTAGACCCTTATCTTACAACATACACAAAAATCAACTCAAAATGGATAAAAGCCCAAAACATAAGACCTCAAACCATAAAACTTCTAGAAGAAAACATAGGGGGAAAGGGTTCTTGACATTGGCCTTGGAAATGATTTTTTTTAATATCACACCAAAAGTTCATGTTAATAAAGTAAATAAATAAATAAATAAATTGAACTGCATAAAGCTAAAGAGCTTATGTACAGCAAAGGAATCAACTGCCAAAATGAAAGACAACCTACAGCTTGGGAATAAATGTTTGCAAACCATATATTCAATAAGGAGCTAATATTGAAAATTTATAAAGAACTCATACAACTCAACAGCAAGAAAACATATAACTCAGTTAAAAAATGGGCAAAAGACCTGACTATTTCTCAAAAGATGATATAAAATTGGCCAGCAAGTCCATGAAAAGATGCTCAGCATCACTAATGATCAGAGAAATGCACATCAAAACCGCAATATCACCTCACACCTGTTAGAATGGCTGTTAACAAAGAGACAAGAGATAACAACTGTTGGCAAGGGTGTGCGAAAAGGGGAACCCTTGTACACCGTTAGTGGGAACGTAGATTGCTGCAGCCATTATGGAAAATGATATGGAGGTTCCTAAAGAAACTAAAAATGGAGGTATCATATGACCCAGGAATTCCTTTTCTGTGTATATACCCAAAGGAAATGAAATCACCACCTCTTGAAGATAACTGTAGTCTCGTGGTCATTGCACCATTGTTTATAATGGCCAAGATATGAAAACAAGCTAACTGTCCATTGATAGACAAATTGATAAAGAAATTGTGCCTCTGCCTTAAAAAAGGAGACTCTCCTGACATTTGTCACAACATAGATGAACTGGAGGACATTATACTAAGTAAAATAAACCAGACACAGAAAGAAAACATTGCATGATCTCACTTTTATGTGGAATCAAAAAAATAAATAAATAAACAGTCAAGTTTGTCTCTATCAAGAGATAGAGAATAAAACGGTGGTTACACAGTGTCTTAGTCGATTTTCTGTTGCTTTTCACAGAATACCTGAAACTTAGTAATTTATGAAGAAAATGAATTTATTTCTTATAGTTATGGAGGTTAGGAAGTCCAAGGCCAAGGGGTCAGTTATGGTGAAAGCCTTCTTGCTGGTGGGGACTCTGCAAAGCCTCGGCACTAGGCATCACATGGCAAGGGGGCTGAGTGTGTTAACTCAGGTCTCTCTTCCTCTTCTTATGAAGCCACCAGTCTCACTCCTATGATAATCCATTAATCCATTAACCCATTAGTTCATTAATTAATGAATGGATTATGAGGGCAGAGCCCTTGGATCCAATCACCTCTTAAAGGCCCACCTCTAAATACTGACACATTGGGGATTAAGTTTCAATCTATGTTTCAGAGGAGACAGATATTCAAACCATAGCACCAGGGACAGGGTGGGGTGAGTGAAGAAAATGGGAGATGTAGGTCAAAAGATACAAAGTAGTAGATACATAGGATGAACAAATATAGCGATCTAATGTACAGCATGAGGACAGTTAATGATAGTGTATTTGTAGTTAATGATAGCATACTATATTCAGGATTTTTGTTAATGAGTAGATTGCAGTTGTTCTTGCCACAAAAAAATGGGTAGCTGTGTGAGATGATTAATATAATTTATATGTTAATTTCATTCCCTATAGTAACCATTTTTACTACTTCAAGGAATTTACATTTAAACCTTAAATTAAAAAAGAATTTAAACATCTTTAAAATTAATTTTCTCACTAGCATCATTTTTCCATTGATGTCAATATAGGAATATATATTGGGAAATATTAAGGTAAAATAGGTAATTTTGGAGCCTAAGTTTTAAGTGACACCATACTGTATTATAGCTGAGAAGTACAGTAAATAGTATGAGGTGTGGGTATCCTGGGACAGGAAGAGGATGGATCAGAAGACAGTAAGATTGACAGAATCTAACTCAGCCTCAGACCAGGCTGCCTGCTAACTGATTCTGCTGTAAACAATGAAGAGGTTTTCCCTATCAGCAGGCATATAACCAAAAAGCCATATAATGAAGAAAGCTAGGCCCTGAACAAACTGGGTTAGGGACTATATCCAACCATGTACTCCCAGCACCAAATGTAGTCCCAGGCACAGAGCTGACACTGAGTAATTGCTTGTGCTTAATCATCATCATTATACCTACCACTTACTAAGCATCCCACTATGTGCTGGCTGATTTAAATACATTGTTTCCCACGTTATAAATTTTCAAGCCATGCTTTTTATCCACACAATTGCTTCCAAAGGATTTTCTTGAGGACAGAAAAGAATAGAATGTGACGGCTGGGTGCAGTGGCTCACGCCTGTAATCCCAGCACTTTGGGAGGCCGAGACGGGAGGATCACGAGGTCAGGAGATTGAGACCATCCTGGCTAACACAGTGAAACCCCATCTCTACTAAAAATACAAAAACAATTAGCCGGGCGTGGTGGCGGGCACCTGTAGTCCCAGCTACTCGGGAGGCTGAGGCAGGAGAATGGTGTGAACCCGGGAGGCGGAGCTTGCAGTGAGCTGAGATCGCGCCACTGCACTCCAGACTGGGTGACAGAGCGAGTCTCTGTCTCAAAAAAAAAAAAAGAGAGAGAATAAATGTGACTATTCAGTTGCATTAAAATAAAGCTATATTCTGCAGTGTGTTTATAGTTTTATAGTTAGAAAAATAACATCCAGCATCAGACTGGTAACATAAATAATATCCATTCATAATTATATACTATAAACACTGGAAATTCCAGCTTTACCCCAATAAAATATCAACAAATATTTGGCACCAGCGGCAGCATCAGCAGTCATCATTTTAGCCAGTTATTTAAAGGTTGACCAAGTTGATACAAATGACACCACAACCCCAATAAGTTTGAGATCCTTTTTTTTGCACAAAATACAGGTGGTTTTAACAAAAAACAAAAAACTCTGCTTTTGTGTGAAAGAATATGAAACATGACAGCACAAGCTAGACCTGTATCAAAATGAATTTGACACCATGCACCTGAGAGCAGCTAGGCTCTCACCCAGGCCCAGGGAACAAGGCTTTGCTCCAATGGCAAAGATGAAGATAGAGGCAGCCAGTCACCTTGGTGAAAACTAGCAGAGGGCCATTTTTATCACCCCATCTCAACAGTTGAGGAAACTGAGATTTACAGGTAATGATTTGCTCGAAGGTACACAGTTCACACATAAGGCAGACAGGGTTGGACCTAAAATCAAGCAACATTCTGACCCACAACTCCTAGGAAAGCAATCCCAGGCTCCAAGGTCCAGAAAAGAGACTGTTAGCAAAGTGCTAACAAATGAGCTTTATATTTATTTCCAAGATGCAGAGTTCAGGCATAGTAGAGGAAGGCAGTGGCAGTAATCAAAATATCATGAACATGAGAGAAAAAGCTCCATCAGAAAGTGATGCCTATTTGTTCGGTTTCATCTGCCCCTCCTTTGCGCTCAACATCTTTCCACCTCATCTCACCCTCACTGGCACTGCCCCTACATGCATCTGGATATCAACTCTGGAAGTTAAAAACAGGACCTATTAATGGTACAAAAGGTTCAATGTGCAGAGAGTTCCAGCTAGTCCAGTACTCACTGTCTATTCAGAGCTAAACAATAGACTTTGTTGATGTTCCTTTCCAGCAATATAGTTCTTGACCCTTTCACTAAAATTGCAATCAGCAGGGAAAAGAAATCCCAGCAATGGTAATGGCTGTTATGATTAGTTTTATTAATTATCAACTGCCAGAAAGGATGTTGGGGGAATAGAGTCCTCTGGTGCATCTACTAGGGTCAATATAGACAAACAGCAACCCCCTTCCTGGAGGGCTCCAGGGTGACAATCATGATGAGTCTGCAGCCTAATTATTCCCTCAACCAATATTTGTATTCATTATGCAAAATCATTGTTCTCACTCTGCCTTTAGTGACCTCAAATAATAAGGGAACAAAAGAGTTGAAAATCAATTACCCAGATGCTCCTCCATCAAATATGACCCAATATTGGATTATTTGCTGGCTATCTTGTTTCTAGCTTATCTACAAAGCTGACAGGGTAGGCTTTAGCCTGCATGTCAGTCACAGGAACAAAGAGGGAAAAGTCAGAGGCAGTATGGTCTAAGAAGATTGTTCTCAGCCCTGGCTGCAAAGTAGAGAAAGAGAGGGGGAGAAACATTGAGCATTGAAGAAGGAAGGAAGAGAGGCAGGAAGGGAGGCAGAAAGGGAGAAAAGAATTTATTTCTAGGCTCCTGATTCCAGATTGGGCCAGTGCATTTGGTATTTCCTAAGAGAATCCTGGGTGATTCTAATATAACCCCAGGATTGAGAACCACTGAAAGGGAATAACTAAAGTAGAGTATTAGAAACCAAGAAAATGTGATGGCATGACTTGGGGTTCGTCATTTATCAATAACTTAACCTCTCTAAGAATGATGTTGCATAATATATAAATAATGTATCATTTACAATATATATCTGCAGTAAAATGTGACAAGTCTTAAGCACCGTTAAAGGAATAAATTGAATCTTGGAAGATCTCATTGTGAGGAAAAAATTTCACTGCTACCTGGGGGCAAAGAGTGACCAGGGGGAGGTTTTTAGAGGGATGTGGCAATTTCAGCTATGAATAAGAATATTCATATGACTAGTAAACCCAGTTGAAATGATTGTGAATTTCAAAGGTCACAAATACAAATATTAAAAATCCAATTTTGTTTATCTTTTTCTTACCACTGAACTTAGTTTCTGTCTCAAACGTCTATTTTTCTACCAAGTAATAGTAATTTTATCTAGTGATTTCCAGCTACTCTCAGTCTGTTCTGAGTAAATGTCATCAAATTAGGTTTGAGATTAGGCAGTTCAGGGTTTTTAGCCCTGTCAGGGCTGGGTTGGGGCAGGGGTTTATGGAGCATCGGGCAGTGGCAGGGTGAGTAGCATGCCCATGGCCATCCTTTGACCTCCATGGTCTTCTGCCATCCCTGCTGCAGCGAATGCTGGTGTCCACAGTCCCGCTAGGACCTCAGTTATCAGGTCCCTGCTGGAGGTCACTCGGATTCTTTCCCATTGAGGCTCCTTAAGGCTGCTAGCCCTCTCTAGGCTGCTTTCTTGCCCCTGCCCCATGGAAACATTCGGATGCTCCCTCATTCCACTCTGGGACACGATAAAGACTCAGAGTGCTGCCCCAGTCCCTCTCATTCCTACACATAGCACATTACCCTTTCCACAAATGGCTGCCCCTGATCTCTGAGAGAAGACAAATTCTGGATCCTTTTTCATTTTCCTAGGCTTCTCCCAAGGATTGAGTGCAGGTTCTCTCTGTCTATGAATTTTCTCCCCAAACTTGCTGAAGTTTCTGTCAATCCTTTCCCCATAACCGGAGATGCTGTCAGTGGGGAGGAAACAGGGACTCCCTCAAGCCTTAGCTGTGGTCACATTTATTCTGAGTGCCCTCCTCCCAGTTCCAGCCCTTACCTACCTTCTAGGGATAAAGCAGTCTTCTTATTGGTTAGCTCCAAATCTGCTACTTAGGGCATAAACTTTGGCTTTTGATGCTTAAGAAACAAAAACAAAATGAAATAATCAACAAAAACAAAAAGTAGGTTCTGACTATACAGAAACACCACACTTCACTTTCAAATATTTATTGTCTCTGCCCTGGGCTTTAAAAATCAATTTTTAAATTCAAAGACAAGCATTAACTCACTTCCTTCTCTCTGCATTAAGCATTAATCCTACCCACAGGACAAGAGTGGTGGGGGGAGGCGAGTGTTATAAGGTGTTTTCTCATTTATTAAAAAAAAGGCAAAAGGCATTAATATCATATTTAAAATATTATCTGCTATGCAACAAAAACCAAGTAGTAAAAAGGAGAAAAAAAATGATCCAATATTTAGAAGTTTCTTCTGGTTCATAACCTTGGTTCAACATTAATATAATCCACTTACTCAACAAAATATGATGGTGAGATGGGAAAGCTGCTTTTTTATATTGAGTATCGACCAAGCTGCATTTACCTACACCCACTCTGATACTCATTCCAACATCCCTGATATTCAGAATATTGAGTTATGCAAAGATCTCTCTAAGTCCTGATGTCCCCAGTGACTATTCCTGAAGACATTTCTATCTCTCTTATTTAAAGGCTTGTCTTTCATGATTAAATAATCAGCTCATTGGTAGCAACGAGTGCCTTTCCCCTGAGATGTTGTAAAATAGTTTCATGCATTGGTTAGGAGGCCAGGATAATTTTGTTCAGGGTAGAAAAGAACACCACATGCTTGAGCTATGACAGAACAAGTGTTTGCTAATTTTCTGTTTGGGGATTTTCAGTTTTCCACTTGAGTTGCTGCCGCCAAAATGAGTATTTTTACATTTAGAATATGCCATAATTTATGCAGGAGACATTCAGTAATGACTCCAGCTAAAGCCAACTGTAAAATTAGCCAAACATCTTTTGGTCCAAAAGTGAATGCTCAAAACAATTGCTAATTGAGCTGTTTGGATCTTCAGTTTTCCTTTTCAGGGACAGAAGCCCTCAGTAAAATAGATCCACAGGAAATTGCAGGCATTTGTCAGGCATACAGTCTAACATAAGACTTTCC